>NC_000010.11:81355216-81506731 GCF_000001405.40 Homo sapiens | reverse complement strand
TCTCGTTGGCTTCAGGATTGAAGCTGCAGACCTTCGCGGCGAGTGTTACAGCTCATAAAGGCAGTGTGGACCCAAAGAGTGAGCAGTAGCAAGATTTATTGCAAAGAGCAAAAGAACAAAGCTTCCACAGTGTGGAAGGGGACCCAAGCAGGTTGCCACTGCTGGCTCGGGCAGCCTGCTTTTATTCTCTTATCTGGCCCCACCCACATCCTGCTGATTGGTCCATTTTACAGAGAGCTGATTGGTCCGTTTTGACAGGGTGCCGATTGCTACGTTTACAATCCCTAAGCTAGACACAAAAGTTCTCCAACGTCCCCACTAGATTAGCTAGATACAGAGTGTCCACACAAAGGTTCTCCAAGTCCCCACCAGAGTAGCTAGATACAGAGTGTCGATTGGTGCATTCACAAACCCTGAGCTAGACACAGGGTGCTGATTGGTGTATTTACAATCCCTTAGCTAGACATAAAGGTTCTCCAAGTCCCCACCAGACTCAGGAGCCAAGCTGGCTTCACCCAGTGGATCCTGCACCAGGGCTGCAGGTGGAGCTGCCTGCCAGTCCCGCGCCCTGCACCTGCACTCCTCAGCCCTTGGGTGGTCGATGGGACTGGGCACCATGGAGCAGGGGGCGGCACTCGTTGGGGAGGCTCAGGCGGCACAGGAGCCCACGGAGGTGGGGGAGGCTCAGGCATGGCAGGCTGCAGGTCCCAAGCGCTGCCCCGCGGGGAGGCCTGGTGAGAAATTGAGCACAGCAGCTGCTGGCCCAGGTGCTAAGCCCCTCACTGCCCAGGGCTTGCGGGCCGGCTGGCCGCTCTGAGCACGGGGCCCGCTGAGCCCATGCTCACCCGGAACTCGCGCTGGCCCGCAAGTGCCGCACGCAGCCTCAGTTCCCGCCCGCGCCTCTCCCTCCACACCTCCCTGCAAGCTGAGGGAGCCGGCTCTGGTCTTGGCCAGCCCATAAAGGGGCTCCCACAGTGCAGCGGCGGGCTGAAGGGCTCCTCAAGCGTGGCCAGAGTGGGCACCAAGGCCAAGGAGGCACCGAGAGCAAGCAAGGGCTGTGAGGGCTGCCAGCATGCTGTCACCTCTCAGAAGGTTAGGTGAATAATATAATCTGTAACATAATTCTTGTGTGCCTAAGAAAAAGAAATAGATTAATGAACATCTAACTAGTTTAGTCAGGAGTGACAAAACTATAGCCGTTGGACAGAAGTGAGGGTGGCCCTGGGGACTCCTAAACTTGTGACTGGTGTCTGAAGTGAGAGCACGCTCATGGAGGACTGTTGCCCTTTAACCTGTGTAATCTGGCCTTACACCATGTAAGTTGGCATTATAATTTTGACAGATTTTATAATCTTGCCACAATGTTCCATTGTGGATTTTAGTATAAAATAATATATCTTCTTCAAATGCTTGCAGATTTTTTTTAACCATTATGCTGTGTAGTCTCAACTTACTTTTACTAGGTTTTCTGTTTTTTTTCATATTTCCTAACAATTTTTATAAATTGTATATATTATTCATCTGCCATCTCTCATTAGCTTTGTCTATGTTGGCCTTGGTTGAAAAGAAATACTCAATTTTGATACATTAAAAAAACTAGAAGAGGCCTCATTTGCAAAGTTCTTTTCCACAACAAAGTCCTAAAAACATTCTCCTGCCTGAGTTGTATTCAATTTATAGTTATGTATATTTTGATTTTTAATCCACCTTTGTATCTGCTGGTTTTCATTTTATTACTCCTCATGTAATGAGTTATTTTATTGAAAACTACCCTCCAAAGAGTCCTCTTATCACCTATGAATTTCTCATGGCAACTTTATTGTATATAAGCTTACAACATACATTGTTTTAAGTTTTTAATCTTTTTCCGTAAGTCTAGGTGTCTGTTCCTGTGCTAAGGATCTATTGTTTTCACGCCTATGGCTGAGATGGAGCAGGGACCCATTTTAGGGGTCTGCCAAGCCCCCTTCTAGCATGACAATAAAGGAAAATCTTGAGTGCCTTCAAGAGAAATTTCAGGCATCTGGCTAGCCTTGAGAAATAAATGAACAACTTGATAAGCAAGAAGGTAGTAAGAGCTTAAAACAATAGCCAAGAAAATTAAAAGAGTCACGGGATATTTGATTCCTTATAGAAACTAAAAGTAACATCTTAACATATGCCCGAGTTGTTTTATGAAATCTGCCCCCCGCCCCCACAACCAAATGGGAAATGTCATATGCTGGCACTAGACCTCACATAAGGGACAACTAAGGGCTGAACTCCAGCTGCCGTTCTTTGTTCTAAATTTCTTCCCAAAGGGCCTGGAGAAAGTCACATTAACAGCCCAGACCTTAACATTCCTTTCTCTGACCCGTTTTTAGACAAAGCTTACTTCCTTAACCAATCACAAGTCAGAGAATCTTTGAATCCACCTATGACCTATAAGCCCCCACTTCAAGATATTCTACCTTTTTAGTCCAAACCAATGCATAACCTCCATGTATTGATTTATTGCTTGCCTGAGGACAATGTAAGCTTTGAATTTGGAACCCTTGGGAAAAACAGAAAAGGTGTCACAGACTGTTTTGGGAAAAACTATTTTTCTCATGAAACCCCAAGAATTGTAAGGGTACACATTCCTTTCAAACCTAAACCTTTGCTCCCTTTTATGTTGTTACCTGATCATTTGGCTTTTGAGGGTGTCTCTGAAATTGGTGGGTTCTTGGACTCACTGACTTCAAGAATGAAGCCGCAGACCCTCGTGGTGAGTGTTACAGTTTCTAAAGGTGGTGCGTCCAGAGCGTTTCTTCTGATGTTCAGACGTGTTCAGAGTTTTTTCTTCTGGTGAGCTCGTGGTCTCGCTGGCTTCAGGAGTGAAGCTGCAGACCTTCTCCATGAGCGTTACACCTGTTAAGGTGGCGCCTCTGGATTTGTTCATTCCTCCCACTTGGCTCCTGGTCTCGCTGGTCTCAGCAGTGAAGCTGAAAACCTTCGTGGTGAGTGTTACAGCTCATAAAGGTAGTGGGACCCCAACGAATGTGCAGTAACAAGATTTATTGCAGAATGAAGCAACTAATCTTCCACACCGTGGAAGGACATCCCAGCTGGTTGCCACTGCTGGCAGGGGCAGCCTGCTTTTATTCCCTTATCTGGCCCCACCCACATCCTGCTGATTGGACCATTTTACAAAGAGCTGATTGGTCTGTTTTACAAAGAGCTGATTGGTCCGTTTTGACAGGGTGCTGATTGGTGCGTATACAATCCCTGGGCTAGGCGCAAAAGTTCTCCAGTCCCCACCAGATTAGCTAGATACAGAGTGCTGATTGGTGCATTTACAAACCTTGAGCTAGACACAGAGTGCTGATTGGTGTATTTACTATCCTCTAGCTAGACATAAAAGTTCTCCAAGTCCCCACCCGACTCAGAAGCCCATCTGGCTTTGCCTAGTGCATCCCCTGCCAGGGCCATGGGCGACCTGCCTCCCAGTCCTGCCCTGCACGCCAGCACTCCTCAGCTCTCCTCAGCTTTTGGGCGGTTGATGGGACCAGGTGTCCTGGAGCAGAGAGCGGCACTCGTCAGGGATTCTACCGCAGTGCAGGAGCCCAGGCGGCGGGGAGGCTCGGGCATGGCCTGCTGCAGGTCCCCAGCCCTGCCCCACGGGGAGGTGGCTGAGGCCAGGCAAAAATTCCAGCGTGAAGTGAGTGGGCCAGCAGTGGTGGGGGACCCGGCGCCCCCTCCACAGCTGCTGGCCCAGGTGCTAAGCCCCTCACTGCCTGGGGCCAGCAGTGCCGGCCAGCCGCTCTGAGTGCAGCCTGCTGAGCCCACCCCCACCAGGAGCTCGCACTGGCCCGCGATTGCGGCGCTCAGCAGCCCCGGTTCCCGCCCAGGCCTCTCCCTCCACACCTCCCGACAAGCGGAAGGAGCTGGCTCCGGCCTGGGCTGGCCCAGAGAGGGGTACCCCACAGCGCAGTGGCGGGCTGAAGGCTCCTCGAGCATGGCAAGAGTGGAGGCCAGAGCAGACGCCAAGGCCGAGGAGGCGCTGAGAGCGAGCAAGGGCCGCCAGCACGTTGTCACATCTCGAGGGTACCAGAAATTACTTTTCATTATGAGAAACTTTAAAAATTGGAAAATTAAGAATCTTATCAATCTATAAGATCTGCTTCTGTCTTATGTCTATTTCTATATGTTTATATGTGTCGCGTGTGTGATAGTTCACTACCAAAATGTATATAAGGGCTCTGATCAATTGGCTTAAAGAAGAGTAAGCATTTAGATTAAATAAGACTTTTTCAGAAAATCACAACTTAAATGTTTTTTGGTTCGAATGACTTTGGTATTCTTTGGTAAATAAAGATAGTTTTAAATTATTGGTAAAATAGAAACATTTTCAGAATTTAGACATTTGGTCTGAATTGGGCAGATCTGATACTGTCTGTTAGATTATTTAAAGTCATAACTTCTTCTATAACATTTCTGATAATTGTTCAACCTGTCTGTTTTAGAGCCATTAGATTCCAGGTAAAGTCGGGACATGTGGAGCTAGCCATGCCCCTTGGTTATGCTGGGAAAAGTCAGACATCGTCTGAAGCTCTGTTCTTTGCTCTGGCTCTGCACCAGTACATAATTAAAATAGCCTATCTCCTAGGTTTTTCACTAAAATTAAAAGTTACTAAGAGTTAACATTGTAGTATATGTAATTATAACTACTGGAGAAACAGTTTTACATGCAGAGGTAAAATTTAATTTTCTCTTTTGGACAAGATTTTCATGTAATAGTGACAGATAATGAAAGAATTTTGTTTGCCTTTTGAGTAAAGTGTAAAAAAAATGAAGTGGGGACGGAGGGAGAGAGAACAGACTCGAATTCAGTTGACCTCATGATGTCTTAATTGGGTCTTGTTCTTTGGAAAGTGGAGTCTTCACTCTATCAAAGAATGGCTTTTTGAAAGTTTTCAGTTATCACTTTGGCAAAATGAATAATCTGTGATACTGATTGTTGATATCAGGTGTTTTAAACCTTTGATATTTGACAAACTTTTCAAAATAAAATTCTAAATTCAGCCTTTTGATCTTTAATTTTTCTGAGAGGGCTAAGAGAGACATGTGTTTGACTGATTTGTTACATGAAGATTATACAGAAAGCACTGTCAGATATAAAAAAATGTTTGGCTTTCTTTGGATTGTATTTGTATTTAACCATAGCTGTTCTGAGACTTTTGTCATCCATAATTATTGTTTTACTTTGAGTCTTCTTAGAAAGTGATTTACTAAAAGTTACAGTTCAGAACTTTTTTGTGTGTGTTTATTTATTTATTTATTTTTGACATAGTCTTGCTCTGTCACCTAGGCTGTACTGCAGCCTCCACCTTCCAGGTTCAAGTGATTCTTGTACCTCAGCCTCGCAAGTAGCTGGGATTACAGGTGTGCACCACCACATCCAGCTAATTTTTTTATTTTATTTTTTTGTATTTTTAGTAGAGACAGGTTTCACCATGTTAGCCAGGCTGGCCTCAAACTTATGGCCTTCAGTGATCTGCCTGCTTCAACCCCAAAGTGCTGGGATTACAGGTGTGAGCCACCACACCTGGCCCAGAACTTGCTTCTTTAGGAGAGTTGATGAGGACTCTGACAGGTGCTTTTAAATTCAGACTTCTGATAACCTTATAGATTGTGCCATTGGACAAAATCTTCCAGAGCTCTCATTAAAGACATAATGTGTTCATGAGGATTGCTGGCACATTATCAAGCAGAACTTTAGTTAATTGAATGGACTGAGACAAGAGAAGTTTGAAATGATTTTTTATGACTTTTTGTCTCAAATATTGCTGATTCTTTTTGTTTTGCTTTTCAGAGTCAAGAAAACGTATTTCTTTTGAGTTATTTACAGGTTTTAACAATTGAGTAAATTATACTCTTGTGAGCAAAACTTGAAACATATTTCTTTCTTTGTACCTGATTTCTCTAGAATTTGGGAAGTATTTGTGAATACTCTTATTTTATAGCAATCTAGTTATTTGCATAAATTCAATAAAAACTGCTTCTTTTATAATAGGACACAATTGGAGACACTGGTTATTTTACCAAGACTTTGACTGGAATGGCATATTTTCTGATATGAGCAGACTGCTTTGAGAAATTTATATGTATAATAGAGTCAATAAAAAGCCCCCTAGAAAAAAATCACACCTTATCAATGCAGTTGCTTTATAGGATTCTTGACCTGTGATAAGTAAAGAATGTCACTCTCTGACAGGCCCAAGAACCTTAAGTTATTCTGGGATCTTGGAAAGAGAAGAATTCACCCAGTTCATACAAGTATCTGCAGGCACAGAAAAATCCTTGCCTGGGTATACAGGTGTTTGTAAATGTCTAATCTGAGATTCCTTATAGAAAAGTTCCAGCTAAGCTAAACGTTAAAAAGAGCTAAGCTTTAAAAAGAGCTTACATGGTAAATAATTATTCTTGCTACACATTATACAAATAAGCAGGCCATGGATAAGACTAAAACTTATTTTGCAAATAAATTGTAGTACGATTTGTCTTTGGTAAAAATAAGGGACTGGAGAGAGAAAAAATATGCTTAAGAATAAAACTAGAGTACACCTGTTATTAGATTCTAGCGTTGCCCATTGTCTTTAAGTTTTTATTATTTTCTACAATTTGAACCGAAATCCTAAATTCTTTTCTGGCTGTAAGTTTCCAAACTAACATTTTCACATTTTTCTCCCATTTTTCTGACTTGGACTCAATGAAATTGCTACCGCCTTTTTTCTGACTCCCTGAAAGCTGAAACTTATTCCTTAAGATATGGATAAGGAAAAAAAAAAAAAGCCTGTCAGATTACTACTGCCTTTTTCCTCTTTGATTAAGATGCTTTGAGCCTAATGTCTGAATACTTCAAATGGCTGCCATCCAGACTTTAAGGGAACTGGTTTAGAGATTGTTCCTAATCTTAATCTTTGTTTTTCTTCCGTGTCCCATAGAAATGCCTCTTATTAAAAATATGTTTGTCTTCATTGTATATAGAGGCCTAGGCCATCTGCAATGCCACTTCTTGGAATGTGACACAGCTGTTTAACTGAACCGCTCTATTCTCAATACTAAGAAGCTGACTAAAGAGGAAGTATGGGACAACATTTTTAAGTTTGCCTTTTTCTGTTTACCTCAATTTGTCTTTCCAACAACCTCTAATCTAAATCTCTCTCTACTATGCCAACAAGATCTACAGCTGGATATCACATACGTGGATTCTGGAGAGCCCATAAAAAGGATTAACGGCTCAATTCCATTTTGTCTATGCTCTCCATGAAGGAGTCCGTTAGTAGACTTATCCCTTGAGGGTATTACCTGTGTACCCAAGGGGTATACCTTTTTGTGGCATAGATACAAGAATGGGCTCATTCTTGTCTCAACAGTCTTTTAAGGATACTGGTTCCTAGTTATGGAGTATATGCCATCAGAGACGTTATCAGAAACCTATCTTCTACCTTAGGGATAATTGTTTTAGGGCTCAGCAAAGTTCCCTTGTTAGTCCAGGTAGTCCTAGACAATTGGGACATGCTAGATTTCCTGTTGGGTAAACAGGAGGGAGTCTGTGCAGTGTTAACACCACTTGCTTCACCTATTTATACACCTCAGGAAAAGTTAAAACCTGAGTAGAAAAAATCTCCCAACAAGTGACATGGTTATCTCCACTAATAGCCCCATGCCTGATTGTTTTTTGGGGTTATTAACCTGGATTCCTCAAGCTTTAGATCATTTTTTACAGGGATTTCTGAAACTCAGATTTTCACTCCTTTCATTAGGGCTTATTATTTACCTTATAGTCTGCTATTCTCTTAGGTGTTATGCTAAAACTGTGGATGAAAGTAGTAATGTCTTGTTATGCAAACCTTGGGAACTCAACCAGATACCTGTGAGTACATGCAGACAACTGATGTTTCAGTCCTCATATGGGTACAATCGCAACCTCAACTGTGCTGTCAGCAAGAAGATGCCAGAGAGATCATCAACCCTGTTTCATCTCATTAGCCCACATTTCAGGAATGAGATGTGCTCAAGCCCAAAGATGGGGCAGGGGAGCTGAAACCACCTTAGCAGAATGGTAATTCATGAGAGAAATCTAACATGACTGACACCGTTTTGCTTCTAACTCCACAGGCTAACTTGATTTTTGCTTATTCTAGCTGGAGGTCAGTTAAATATTAGAGGAATTTATAGTTAAACTTTGAGGAAAGAAAAACTAACCTCCCTCTTTTTTTGAAAAAAAAAAATAAGGCTCATTCATAAGAAAGCATTAGAATTATGTTAGGGGCTTGAGCTTTGCTAAAGAATACGCATAGTTAAGTAATACCCCACTCTTGTTTAGTTTGCTTTTCTGTAAGTTGTTTACTGCCCCAGAGTCATGTAAATAGAGATTGCAAGATTTATAACTTCCCCAACTATTGCTAAAGATATCATCACTATTGTGAAACCTAAGGAACTGTTCTTTGAGATATTTTTCAGACTGAGCATTTTTTTAAACCATGAGATGCCACCTGGTCCTGAGACCCCGTGCCCATGAACTGACTCAGCTACATGATTTCATTTCCAGCCAATCAATTGCTTCAGTTCCCCAGCCCCCTGACCGCCAAAGTACCCTTAAAGAACCTGGAATTCCCTGGGAGACAGTGTTGACAAATACCTTCTTTCCTTCCATTGGGCTAGCCCTGCAATTATAAAACTTTCTTTGCTGCAATGCCTGCTGTTCTCTGTGCATTAGCTTTTCTGGGCAGTGGGCAAGACTAACCCATCAGGCTGTAACAATAATACCGATTGCACTTTTTTAAATTGCTCATTTTTTATTGCTTGAGGACAAACATCTAGTTTGTGTTGATTGTTGTGGTTTCATGAGTGTTTCACACAAAGTGGAGGATCTAGTTGGTGCTCCATAAACATTTATAAAGTAAGCAAGTAGATGAATGTCTCCTGGTTACAATTTCAGAAGTGCTATTTTGTTTCTTTAGAATTTATTTTCAGAAAATTCAACATAAGATATGTGGCTGACAATACAGAGAAATGCTGACATTCTTAATTTTCAATAAACTAATAATGTCTATGAAACTACAAGTAAATATTTTTACCACTATCCCCATATGTAAAAATTCTAAATTTAACCAGTGCATTTTAATGTTGTTATTCAGTTGAATGCCCACTCAGAGTCAAACATGGCTTTAGTTTCTGAGGATTGAAAGATGAGATAATTACATTCTCTTTCCTTAAGGAACTCACAGTCTATCTACAGTGATGTGTACATGAATTAATTCCAAGATTTCAGGAATGCAGAAAGTGGTGCAGGAACACAGAGAAGGAAATAACATTTGCTATCTTGTTGAAGAAGCTAAGGGCAACTCAAAGGAAAAATGATGCTTGAGAGCTAGATCTTAAAGAAAAGCAGTTTACATCTGGACAATTTGGAAAAGACATCTAGTTAGTATAAATAACATATTTAGAAGATAAAACCAAAGAAAGAATCAGGAATGGCTAAAAAATGAACTGGTTTTTTTGGTGGGGGGGGGTGGATTTGTGTGTGTGTGTGTGTGTAACACAACAAGGATGAGTCTGCAAAGACAGTTGGGGCGCTGACTATGGACATGGAATTTCAATTTTATTCAGTAGGCAATAGGAAGTGATTAGTAGTCTTAAACTTACATCATTTATTTTCATTCTAGAGTTGTAGTTTCTTGACTCATGAACTTTTTGGCTTATGGAAAAGCATCATTCAAACTTGATTGGAAAAGTGACTGAGAAGTCATACATCAACAACATTTTTTGACCATATGTTAACACTTGGATTTGGCTTATAGATATAATTTATTCTAAAACACTATTTTAAAGTTCATATTCTTGGGTGGGGTTAAACATGCCAGGGCCACAGTATTTGCTGAATCAGGAATATAACTAAACTATCAATACCTCAACTTGACAAAATCCATATCTACCAACTTGTATTCTGCTGCAGACATTAAAATTCTCTGTTGAAAATGGAAATTTGTTGCACACATATACAGTAGAGTAAATTAAATAAGAAAGAGTAATGTAAGGCTGCAGACTGAGATAAATGGTGCATAAATCCAGGTATTAAATGTTTCACTGGGCAATGATGAAGTGTTATACATTTGCTCTCTCTTGATGTATAAAAAATTGATTGGCTAAATTTAAAACCCACAACATAATTGAATGTTACTCCTTTTGCATAATCCCTGAAACGGTGCTTAAGATACATGACAAAAGTCAGCCATGATCCTAACTCAAAAAGTAATTTCTCATCTGTGTATTTTACACACGAGCTGTGAGGATGTAAGATGTATGGAAAGGCAGCAAGACCATTTCCAATGCCATAACTGTTTCTATAATGACGTGCTTATTTTCATTGTTATGCCCACTCTGCCGACATGCATGTTATAGGCAATATGGGTCTGGGCAGTCAGTATTTTTGGTATCTTTTTATTTTACAAGAAATATGTAGTAATTATGGGGGTATCCAGTATTTCTTACTGTAAATCTCTAGGAGCTCTCCATAAGTAAGATGCTGACACTAGAGTTAGTACCACAGAACAAAGAACTTGGAGACTTTGATGGGGTGAAGACAGGCAACCATGGGTCTTCTTGCTCTCCTAGCAACAGGGATCTAAAGTTTAGGTATAGATAGGACATTTACTTCCTTTCAGTAAAGCAATTTGAGCTCATTTAATAACTGGGTTTTTTTTTCAAGTTTCTTTTGAAATGAGTAAAAAATACATTAAACATGGAGACAGATGTACTTCTAATAATAAAGGGTTTCAGACGTCAAAAAATATAAGCCAAACTCCAGAATTAAGTGTTAAGTGTTAGCCCACTACACTACATAACAGAACAAGATCATGCAGATAGGAAACTAACAAGTCTCCATGGGTCTACATTCACAGGAACATACATAAAACAGGACATCAGAAGTGCAGTGATTGAGAATCATGGGAAACGGGAGTGATGACCTGAGAGTAACTTGAGTAACTTGAACAGTTCCTGGCTGTGTCATATCAACAGAAAACCCATTTACCTTGACACACTTACCAATCAATTTTTTTAACACAGACAACTAGGAATAAACCTTGAAGATTGCTGTAATCCACAGTGAAGGAAGGCTTCAAGAATCAGGAGCAGCCCCTCAGCTAACTCAGGCATGGTTAGCAAAGCAGTTACTTCCCAGTTGTATGTACCCACCCTCTATGTTCTTCACAGCCACCTAGAATAACCACAGACTAGCCAAATAAAACTATGATAAATACCAGATCTTCCTGTGTCCATTTACAATGGGGCAAGCTGAGTAAAAGCATCAAATATATAATGCAATTTAGGAGAAAAGGGGAGAATCTTATGAGGATTTAAAGGAAATATCCCATTATAAAATGGTTTTAGTCTGAAAAACAGAATAAAATATAAACAACTGTAATTGCATTTTTTTAAGATTGACAAATACTTGGCATTTTTAAGCACAATATGACAAAATCAGCAAAGAAATCTTACAGACCAAAAATGTGATTTCAAATTCTGAAACTTTAAGGATTATAAATAAGGAGAAACTAAAAATATGCTAGGGAAACCCTGTGGACCCTGTGGCTCATTTCCTCACATCTTCACTTCCTTCAGACGTGAGCTCCAAGATCATCTCACCTGTATGGCCTTCCCAAACTCCTTCATAAACCTGGACTCTACTCTGAAGCTGCTTTTTTGTGTTTCCCATCACTTCCTAACATGCAATATACGTATTTGTTTACTTGCATATTGTCTGTCTTCCCCAAAAGAAGTCGGGGCCTTTTGTGGCCTGTTTACCATTTTTTTTACTCCACCATCAGAACCCTCCATCATGCACTACTGCTGCTCAAAAATTACCTGTAGAATAAAGTAATGAGGGCTACTGAGAGAGAGCCTCTGACCACAGAAGCAATCCTAACTAAAACCATCGGATCTGCAAAGGGGCTGATCTCTGCTTCCAGAGATAAAATAACTTTGCTTGTTTTAAGAAGTCTATTTCAAGAAAGACTGGATTGCAAACAGTCATCTCTCCTACCCCAGTTCTTTAGGAATTACATTTTCATATTAAATTATCTTGAGTCTCTTGTGAAATCACATAAACCACACTGAGTTTTTAGTGCATAAAGCCCTAAACTTCATGTCCCTCCAATGCATCTAGGTTTGCTTTTAGAATCTTTACCATAGTAATCTTCACCCGGGACGTACTACATAATCACAATATCTGACAAAATTACAAAAACCTAGAACCACCTTATACCAACTGAAACCAAATCTCTAGGGTAGGAACTGGCTATTTGTAAGCTTTTAAGAGTTTTAAAATTTTTTATCTTAGTTGACACAATAATTGTACATATTTATGGCATACAATGTAATCTTTTGATGCTTGTATACACTGTATAATGAACAAATCAGGTAATTAGCATAGCCATAACCTAAAACATTTATCATTTATTTGTAGTGAAAACATTCAAAATCCTCTTTTCTAGCTATTTTGAAATATTCTTTGCATTATTTTTAACGATAGTCATCCTAGTATGCAATAAGACACCAGGTTTTATTCCTCCTAAGTATAATTTCGTATCCATTGACTAATCTCTCCTCTTTTCCCCTATACCCCCCTCCCCAGTCCCTAGTAACTACTGTTCTATTCTCTACTTCTATAATATCAACTTTTTATGTTCCACATATAAGTAAGATCATGCAGTATTTGTCTTTCTATGTCTGGCTTATTTCAACTAACATTATGTCTTCCAGGTTCCTCCATTGTAACTTTTCAAAGTTCCACTGGAGCTCCTGATACGAAGTTAGCGTTGGAATCCATTGCCTACCATTTTCTCTCTCCTTCAAAACAGCTAATATTTTTCTGTACTACTCACAAAAGATGGGTTGATCTCCATTCCCTTGTAGAGATTTTCCATTATCAGTTTTCTAACATGATTGCTAGGAGGCAATGGAGATATGATTGGGTATACCACAGAAATGTTGTTATGTTCATGAAACATCTGGCTTATACAGAGATGCTGTTTAAACAATCTCTGACCTTTCTAACAAGCTTAGAGTGATTCCGTATGCTCTAATCTCTTTCCAAAACAGTAGCAATTAAGGTTCTCTTTCATACCAGGTAAAGCGCTCAGTGGAAAGCTTACAACCCGGCTTAGAATTTTAATGAAGCTGACATCTCAGGCTATGGCTAGATGACTAGAAGGCAAGGACAGAGAAGATCACATTTCCGTGGATACTGAAAGATATATTTCGCATAGTATGGGTACTATGCGAAAGCTGAGAAAGACAATGGCCCTACTCATCTGGAGGCCATATAGGGTATGAAATCCCTCAGGTGAGGATTCACTCTGTGTGAGATGGTGAGTTCTGCTCTTGCATGGGGCCTCTCTTGCCACCAATGTATTCCACTCCACTGAAATCTAGTGAGGCTATCATAGGTAATCACAGATGTAAAACTTCGCAGTTTTCCCTTCTTATTTTCTCTTTAGGACCCTAGCATGCTCTCCTCAACATGGAAAATATCAAATGACCCCTTCATTTCTTTTCTTCAATAACAGAATCTCATTGTGGATATGTCCTAGATCATCTGATACACTCGAACACCCATTTCCCATTTCTACCTCGGTGGAAGGGAAGGGGTAGGGAGCAAATTTTAGTGTCCTCATTTTACTCCTTAAAAGCCCCTATACTCATCATGTTAAATTCTCAGAGAGTCAAGCTTTGGGCAGTATATCCTGCTAAGTGTCTAATAATTTATTTTGTAATTCGGTTGTATGTTGGCTCACATATTTTGTTTCTTAAGGAGGAATGCCCTAATCAGGAAATTCAATAATGCTCTTTAAATCCCTGCCTACTAAAAATGCAGATTCTTGGGCCCAAAATTCAGACAAATTGGAATATCTGGGAATAGAGGCTAAGATTCTCCACCTGTATGAATTCTACTGCACATAAATCTGAACTTCACTGAACTAAGGAAACAGACAAGTGAGACAGCAGACTATAAGTACACATATAGTTAAATGTGCTTGAAAATAATGTGCTTTTTCAATCTACAAATTCAATGTAATTCCCATGAAAATACCACCATCATTCCTCAAAGAACTATAAAAAAATCCTAAAATTCATATGGAACCAAAAAAAGAGCCCACGTAGCCAAAACAAGACCAAGCAAAAGGAACAAATCTGGAGGCATCACATTACCTGACTTCAAACTGTAGTATAAGGCCATAGTCACCAAAACAGCGTGGTACTTGAATAAAAATAGGTACATAGACCAATAGAACAGCATAAATAGCCAAGAAATAAAGCCAAATACATACTGTCAACTGATCTGCAAAGCAAACAAAAACATAAAGTGGGGAAAGGACACCCTATTCAACAAATAGTGCTGGGATAATTGGCTAGCCATATTTAGAGGAATGAAACTGGATCCTCATCTCTCACCTTATATAAAACTCAATTCAAGATGGATCAAAGACTTAAATTTAAGACCTGAAACCATAAAAATTCTAGAACATTGGAAAAACCCTTCTAGACATTGGCTCAGGCAAGGACCTAATGACCAAGAACCCAAAAGCAAATGGAACTAAAACAAAGATAAATAGATGGGACTTAATTAAACTAAAATCTTCTGTGCAAAAGAAATAACCAGGAGAGTTAACAGACAACCCACAAAGTGGGGGAAAATCTTCACAATCTATACATCAAAAAAGGACTAATATCCATAATCTACAAAGAGTTCAAACAAATCAGCAAGAAAAAAAAAAATCCTATCAAAAAGTGAGCTAAGGGCGAGGTGCGGTGATTCATACCTGTAATCCCAGCACTTTAGGAGGACAAGCGGGTGGATCTTTTGAGGCCAGGAGTTCAAGACAAGCCTGGCCAAAATGGCAAAACCCCATCTCTACAAAAAACACAAAAGTAAACTGGGCATGGTAGTGGGTTCCTGTAATCCCAGCTACTCAGGAGGCTGAGGCAGGAGAATTGCTTGACCCCAGGAGGCCGAGGTTTCAGTGAGCTGAAATCACACCACTGCACTCCAGCCTGAGTGAGAGAGCAAGACTCCATCTCAAAAAAAAAGGGGGGGGGGCTAATGACATCAAAGGACAATTCTCAAAAGAATGTATACAAATGGCCAAAAAGCATATGGAAAAATGCTCTACATCACTAATTATCAGGGAAATGCAAATCAAAACCACAGTGCGATACCACTTTACTCCTGCAAGAATGGCCATAATCAAAAATAAAAAAATAATAGATGTTGGTATGGATGTGGTGAAAAGGAACACTTTCACACTGCTGGCAGGAATGTAAACTAGTAAAACCACTATGAAAAACAGTGTGGCAATTCCTTAAAGAACTAAGGAATCTCCATTTGATCCAGCAATCCCACTACTAGGTGTCTACCCAGAGGAAAATAAGTCATTATACAAAAAAATACTTGCACACACATGTTTATAGCAGCACAATTCACAATTGCAAAACTATGGAACCAGCCCAAATGCTCATCAATTGATGAGTGGATAAAGAAAATGTGGTGTGTGTGTGTATATATATATCATGGAATACTACTCAGCCATAAAAAGGAACAAGATAATAGCATTCACAGAAACCGAGATGGGATTGGAGACTATTTTTCTAAGTGAAGTAACTCAGGAATGGAAAACCAAACATTGTATATTCTTGCTCATAATTGGGAGCTAAGCTATGAGGGCACAAAGGCATAAGAATGATACTGTGTCTGGTGTTGGTTCCTTCTGGTGGGTTCTTGGTCTCGCTGACTTCAAGAATGAAGCCACAGACCTTTGTGGTGAGTGTCACAGCTCTTAAAGGTGGCATGGACCCAAAAAATGAGCAGCAACAAGATTTATTGTGAAGAGCGAAAGAACAAAGCTTCCACAGCATGGAAGAGGACCCAAAGAATGAGCAGCAACAAGATTTATTGTGAAGAGTGAAAGAACAAAGCTTCCACAGCATGGAAGGGGACCCAAGTGGGTTGCCGCTGCTGTTTGGGGTGACCAGCTTTTAGTCCCTTATTTGTCCCCGCCCACATGCTGCTGATTGGTCCATTTTACAGAGTGCTGATTGGTGCATTTACAATCCTTTAGCTAGACAGAAAAGTTCTCCAAGTCCCCACTCAACCCAGGAAGTCCAGCTGGCTTCACCTCTCAATACAATGGACTTTGGGGACTTGGGGGAAAGGGTGGGAAGAGGGTGAGGGATAAAAGACTACACAGTGGGTACAGTGTACACTGCTTGGGTGATGGGTGCACCCAAATCTCAGAAATCACCACTAAAGAACTTATTCATGTAATCAAACACCACCTTTTCCACAAAAATCTATTTAAATAAAAATAATAATAATGTGCTTTTCATAATTGTTGGCAGAACTGGCTATTTGACTTGTGGGCCCAGTGAAAAATTAAAACATGGAACCCCTTGCTCAAAAACTAAGAATTTCAACACAGTGGTGCTAGAGCATTAAAACAAGTGTGCGGCCCTTCTAGGAATGGCGCTTAGTGTGACTGCACAGGTCACACAGCCATGAGCTGGCTCTAATTGTTCTACACTGGCCATTTAGGTTAATTTTATTAATTGTCTTGTTCAAATCCTTAACATCCTTACCACATGTTTTGCTGCTTGTTTTATCAGTTGTTAAGAGATGCTACTTCCATCATAATTAGATTGTCTATTTCACCATTTAATTCATTAGTTGTCCTGTTAGAGTTTATTAGGTGCAAACAAATTTAAAATTGTTATAAATTTCTTGTGTATTCACCATTTTATCATTATGAAATATTCCTCTTTATCTCTTGTACTATGTTTTGCATTTCATGAAGGCATACCTCTGAGTTTATTGTCAGTTCAGTTCTAGACCACTGTAATAAAGTGATTATTATGCTAAGGGAAGCCACACATTTTCTTTTCATTTCCCAGTGCATATAAAAGTAATAATTAAAGTATACTATAGTATATTCAGTGTGCAATAGCATTATGTCTAAAACAACAATGCACATACCTTAATTTTAAAAAATATTTCATTGCTTAAAAAATGCTAATAATAATCTGAGCCTTAGGAGAGTAATAATATTTTTTGCTAGTGGAGAGTCTTATTTTAAGATGTTGATGGCTGCTGACTGATTAGGGTGGTGGTTGCTGAAGGTGGTGGTGGCTGCAGCAATTTCTTAAAATGAACAAAAATGAAGATTGCCACATCAGTTGACTTTTCTTTTCACAAAAGATTTTTCTGTAGCATATGATGCTCTGTGATAGCATTTTACCCACAGTAAATTTTGTTACAAAATTGGATTCAATCCCCTCAAATTCTGCTGCTCCTTTATCTAAGTATATGTATTACTGTAAATCTTTTTTTATCATTTCAACAATGTTCACAGCATCTTTGTTAGAAGTAGATTCCTTCTCAAGAAACCACTTTCTTTGCTCATTCATAAAAAGTAACTCCTCATCCATTTGAGTTTTGTTATGATATTGTAGCAATTCAGTCACATATTCAGGCTCCACTTGTAGTTGTCTTGTTATTTCCACCACATCTGCAGTTACTTTCTCCATTGAAGCCTTGAACCTCTCAAAGTCATCCATGAGAGTTGGAATCAACTTCTTCCAAATTTGTGTTAATGTTGATACTTTGACCTCTTTCCCTGAACCATACATGTTCTTAACAGCATCTAGAATGATAAGTCATTTCCAGAAGATTTTTAATTTGCTTTACACAGATCCTCAAGAGGAATCACTATATATGGTAGCTACAGCCTTATGAAATGTATTTCTTAAATACTAAGTCTTGACAGTTCAAATTACCCCTTGATTCACAGGCTGTAGAATGGATGTTAGCAGCCATGAAAACAATAACTTTCCTGTACATCTCCATTAGAGCTCTTGGAAGACCAGGTGCATTATCAATGAGCAGTAATACTTCAAAAGGAATCTTTTTTTTCTGAGCTGTACATCTCAACAGTGGGCTTAAAATATTCAGTAAACTATGCTGTAAACAGACATATTGTCATTCAGACTTTGTTATTCTATTTATAGAGCACAGGCAAAGTAGATTTTGCATAATTCTTAAAAGCTCCAAGGTTTTATGGTAAATGAGCATTGGCTTAGATGTAAATTCACCTACTGCATTAGCCCCTAATGAGAGAGTCAGGTTAAACTTTGATGTTTTGAAGCCTGGCATTGACTTTTCCTCTCTAGCTATGCAAGTCCAAGATGAGATCCCCTTCCTATAGAAGACCGTTTCATCTACATTGAAAATCTGTTGTTTAGTGTAACCACTTTCATCAATCACCTTAGCAAGATCTTCTGGATAGCTTGCTACAAATTCTACAAAAGCACATGCTACTTCACCTTACACTTTTATGTTACGGTGATGGCTTCTTTACTTAAACCTCCTGAACCAACCTCTGCCTGCTAGCTTCAAATTTTTATTCTGCTGCTTTCTCAGCTGTCTCAACCTTCATAGAACTGAAGAAATTTGAAGGCTTGCTTTGGATTAGGTTTTGGCTTAAGGAAATATTGTGCCTGGTTTGATGTTCTTTCTATCTAGACCACTGAAACTTCCTCCATATTAGCAATAAGGCTGTTTTGTTTTCTTTTCACTGGAGTTGCACTTTTAATTTCCTTCAAGAACTTTTCCTTTGTATTCATGCTTTGGTAATTGTTTGGCAAAAGAGGCCTGGCTTTGGGCCTGTCTTGACTTTCAACATGCCTTCCTCACAAGCTTTATCATTTCTAGCTTTTGATTTAAAGTGAGAGACATGCAACTCTTCCTTTTACTTAGACATGTAGAGCCCATTGGAGGGCTGTTAATTGGCCTAATTTTAATATTGTTGTGCGTCAGGGAATAGGGAAGCCTAAGGGGGGGAGGGAGAGAGAGAGATGTGGAATGGCTGGTGGGTGGAGCAGTCAGAACACACACAGCATTATAGATTAAGTTTACCATCTAATATGGTCATGGTTCATGGTGCCCTAGAGCAATTCCAATAGGCAACATCAAAGATCACTGCTCATAGATCACCACAACAGATGTAAAATAATGAAAAGGCTTGAAATATCGTGAGAATTACCAGAATGTGACACAGAGACATGAAGTTAGTATGTGCTGTTGGAAAAATAACACCAATAGATTTGCTGGGCTCTGAGTTACTATAAATCTTCAATTTTTAAAAAAATATACAATATAATATAATAAAAATTTTAAAATGGAGTATCTGTGAAGTACAGTAAAGTGAGGTATCTGTGAAGCACAATAAAATGAGGTATGCCTATACTAGTGATATGGTTTGGATTTGTGTTTCCACCAAATCTCTTATCGAACTGTAATCCCCAGTGCTGGAGGTGGGGCTTGGTGGTAGGTGATTGAATCACAGGGGCCGTTTCTCATGAATGGTTTGGCACCATCCCCTTGGTGCTATTCTTGTGATGGTGAATGAGTTCTCGTGAGATCTGGTCATTTAAAAGTGTGTAGCACCTCCCCCTTCTCTCTTTCTTTCTCCTGCTCTGGCCATGTGAAGTGTGTGCTCTTGCTTTGCCTTCCACCATTATTGGAAGCTTCCTGAGGCCTCCCCAGAAGCAGACGCTGCTGTTTTCTGTACAGCCTGCAGATCCATGAGCCAATTAAGCCTGTTTTCTTTACAAATTACCCAGTCTCAGGCATTTCTTTATAGCAATGGGAATGGTATAATACAACTGATTTTACTTTGGGCTGCTTTTTCATGAAAAATGTTTTCTATGGCCTTATTTTCAACCAATCTATTACCTTATATTTTAAGTGTGTCTACTTAGGAACACAAAAGTTTATTTTACACAAACACACAGACACCCACCCACCCCACCCCCACCCCCATATATATGTATGTGTATATATATGTATATGTATAGGTATATATATGTATGTATATATGTATATATGTGTATATATATGTATATATGTATATATGTGTATATATATGTATATGTGTATATATATGTATATATATGTATATATGTGTATATATGTATATATACGTATATATGTGTATATATGTATATATGTATATATACATATATGTGTATATATGTATACATGTATATATATGTGTATATATATGTGTATATATATGTATATATATATCTCCAGTCTGACTATACTTGTTCTTAATTGTAGTATTTAGTCTACCCACATCAGATGTAATCATTGATGAATTTGGTTAAAAAATCTAATAGTTTATCACACATTTTATATTATCTTACATGTTCTATGCTTTTCTTGCCTTTCATTAGATAAATTAAGTACAGTCATTTCCATTTATCCCTTCTATTGGCCTGTTGATTTACTAATTTTTTTTTGCTCAGTATCTCCCACCCCATATATTAACACATATATATTAACCCTATACTCAATCTTCCCTGGGAAGTTGTAAATGCTCACCCTTCCCTGTCTGATTGTTACATTTGGAGGAATAATTTGCCATGCCTGATTTATCTGTCATGGTTCTTTCTGAGTATACAGGATACTTAGAAAGTATAGAACTCAAGTAAACACAAGTTCTCCTCTTGTCCTCCAGACTTTCATTTGTCTAGGAGCCTCCTCTTTCCTGATGGAGAAGGTCTGCCCAGTCACTGGTGGAATTCTTGGGAGAGTAAATTGAATTAATAGATTTCTATGTTAAAGGTATTATTAACAAGAATATTTAACCTTGTCTTCCAGCTTACATTTCATCAGTAATAAAGTTCATATTTTTGACTCATTTAAATAACTTTCAAATTATACGCAACCCAGACTGGGAAGATTAATGATACTGAGAGATAGACACCTCCATAAAGAGTGAATTTACTGTGATCTTCATATGAGCCATTGAATCCAGATTTCAGAAGAAAAGCAAAGAAGATAGAAGGAATTCCACTACAATTTGGAAGTCTGATAGCAGTGACTCTTTGACTCTTCTTCGGGAAGAGCAGCTGTGAACTTAAGTTTTAGTGAGGTGGTATCAATGCTCCATGATGCTATTGCATCTTGTTAGATTTAGACATCACTTCTATGGAAAGAATAGTGTTTATCCTGTCAAATCCAGGTGAATCATAAAGTAGAAACCTCTTGAGTTATTTTTTCAGACTGTTTGTTTCTCCTATATAGACGGCTCATCTCGGTCATGTTACTCCTGCATAATACTTCAAGGAGACCATAGCCTTTACCTACCCACATAATTTTGAATGATGAAAGGACAGAGCAACTGTTAGTTTTTGAGAGGTGAGTTAAGTCACTGAAAATTCTAGAGGGAAAATGACCTAGTTCTAAATGTTGGGGACCATTGTTCTAATATTCCTTCAGACATTCTTTCCCATTTTTATTTGTATTATAATATTCTTTCTAAGGCATTCATTCCTCTCTCCCCCCTTTTCCCTAGGCTAGCTCAGGTTAACAGCGAATAATGTAGAAGTATTGGAGAGTTTTATATCTAATGTTGTTTTCAGCTATGATGGAAAGCATGCTGTACCAACCACGGTGTATCATATATAACATTTGCACAGACTTAGGACACACCAGAAACTTATGAACACTGCCTAGGATATTTAAAACATCTGATTTTACATTATCCCTGTAAATACATTACTTTATATATATAAAGAAAAAAATGGCATATTTTAAAGGGTTCTAGGCTCTATGTTTTTGAATTGGATGAATTTTTTTAATCAGTTAAATTATAGTAACTTCCAATTGATACATACTCAAATATGTAATTGTCTTTTACCATATATCTATATCTATTTCATTATCTCTCTATCCCTCTCTCTCTGTATGTTTGCCTGTGTGTATGTGTCAGTTTGTGTTTATGTGTGTGTGTATACACACATGATGTACATATAATCTAACAATGAATGTGAGAAATAGGAGAATGTTAAATAAGAAACAGATTTTATATATTAGGTATGTGCATAATCCCTCAAGAATGAAGCACCCACTTGTATGCAGGTATGATACCCATAGTATCATCAGATGTTACTATCAATTGTTTAAATGATGGGAATTGCTTTTCTAGATTTTGAATATATATTTACAGATACTAAAAGTAGATGAAGACAAGTAATTAACAGCACTCTGATAGCTTTAATGATAGAAACAGATGTTCACATTTAAGGCATCAAATCTGAGTGGTTATCATTGAACTGCTGTTTGTGACGGTGTTATGGTCGTCTTTTTCATAGGAGAGAATATTGTAATGCAGATTATTGTGATTGTCTGAAATTATCTCCACGGCTGACAATAGTTATTTTTTTTCCTTTTTCTACTCTCTTATTTGACAGTTAAATGGAGACTGCATTTAACAAGCACAATTATGTCCTCTCTTGTCTATTATGCAGCATTTAATCAGAATTGCTTAAAGAAAGCCTACAGAGGCATATTCAAGCTCAAGTTCCTCATTTCCACCAAAACCAAAGAAAAACATTCTACCAATTATGTTTCTTAACATTTCATGACTAAAAGCTGAGCTGTATGATCACTCTATAAAATGAAATTAGGATTAAGTTTTGTAAAAATAGAATGTAGGAACTTAATCTGAACATTCTGACTCAGGCCTAGTTTGATTTTTTTTTTCCAAAGAAAACCCAAAACTCCACTCCATAGCATAGCTTTCTTACTTTTAGGAAATAATAATTTGGTTATATCCAATCTTACACATTTTCAATTTTCACTGGGCCAGAGTATCCCTCCTATAAGTGACCTAAGCATAGCATTTCTTTCCATTCCTGAGTTCATGTTTCTAGCAGCAATGGATTTTAGTTCGATTTTAGTTGTTAAGCTTTGAATACACATGTAGATATATGTTTTTGGAAATGCAGAAAAGAAAAGCATATAATAAATTTACCAAAATTTACATTTTGAAGTATTTTTTCATATTATTCAACAACCTATTACTTAAAGTTTCATATTATATCTGTATAAACATTGTAAAGTTTGTTTAGACACTTCCCCCCTTGCTAGACATTCAATTTGTTTCTAATTTTTCTCTATTATTAATTACACTGATTTAATTTTATGTAGAATTTTTCTCTAGCTTTGAATATTCTTTCAGAGGGGAGTTTTACCATTGCTTTACTGTATTAAAGATTAATAAGTCTAAAATCTTATAATATATACTAAAAATTGTTCTTGAAGAAGTTTTTGAAATCTAGTCTTCCAAATTGTGGGGAGGGGTGCAGAATCAGCAATTTAAAACAGAGGAGATATCTCGTTATTTGAATGTACATTTCCATTCAGTATACTCAATATATTAATTAGCTATTTAAGTTTTTCTCTCAGTTATTGTTTTCTCTCTTTTTTTCTTTTGACAATTGATTATTTCCCATTATAGGTAAAAGGACATATTTTATAAAAAACATTGACACTACTAATTATGAGATATTTATAAATATTTCTCACTGGTAAGTTTGTCTTTTTATTGTGCCTTAATATGTGTATTTGTATTTATGGATATTTTCCATTGTTAGTCAATTCTACTAAATTTGTATTATGTACTTATTCCATGTTTTCCATTATTAAGTATTCATGCTTCACTGTGTTTTTGTAGAAACATTAAAAATTTTACACTTCATTCATTAAAAAATTTTAAACTGAGACAAGTATTTCTGCCTACTCTTCCAACCTATTAAAAACAAGCTTTTTATCATAAGAATAAAAATATTGTCACTCAATCTGACTTTGGTAGTTTCAGAAAACACCCCTGACAATATTTCTAATGGTAGATATTTTTAAAATTTCGCCATTCGATATTGTCTGTCACAGATTTAACCATCCATATTATAAGTCTATAAGCCCCAATGTTTCTATTATAATAGTAAAATACATTCTTGTTCCCTACTTAGTTACCTACGTTTAGAAACAGATGCCACTTTGTGTGAAAAACAAATGCACCAAACAAATAGATTTTATTCAGGCTATTGCAATAATGTAAATGTTCATTAATGAGAAATATCTGAAAGAAAAGAAAAGGGAGCCTGGAGATTAATCGAAGCAGATATATAAGGGAGGCATTCAGCAATCTTATAGAAGGCATGAGATAAGATGGAAACAGGTTTTATCTTGGACAATATTAGGTCATGGTGGTCCTTTGCAGTGATTAGCTGGTTTCTAAGCACGAAAGGTTTGGGTAATGGGAAGTATTTTTAACTGTTGCTGTTTTCCAAGAACATGGAACTCAGGTGAAGCCCAACACTGGCAGTTACTATATAATGTCATGTGTATAAAAGATACTTTCAAGTTTTGACTGCTGAATTCTGTAATCATTTGTTTTGTTGAGGTAGAGACATAGACAAACCTGATGATTAATTACAAACAACCCATTTTGATATTTTCATAATTAAAAGATTCACTATTTTTTCTACCCACAAGGTGATAGCCTGAAGAAGTTGTTTTTCAATGAACTATAGCTATTCAGAAAACATCTAAAAATCTTCAAACACCGGGAAATTATTTCCATTGCACTAGTCCAAGAAATTCCCTAGGGGATGCTAAGTACTTTGTTGAAGTACTCAAGTGAAGAAAGTATGTTCAGAAGACAGGCTCATTAGTAGGCAAATCGTAAAAGGAGCAGCTAACTCACATTTTTTGTTTGTTTGTTTCTCATCATAATGAAATCGTGCCTGAAAAATATAGCCAAGTGACTAATTGTGGCTGAAATTGGGCAATTACTCTTCAAATTAGCCAAATGTAGGTATAATTATTATTTTAATAATACTAATTCTCAGTGGTAATTTGCAAAGGAGGGCCTACATTTGCTGGAGACACAAGAACTCCAGCTACTTAGAGCAAATATAATTTGATGTGTATACACGTGTATATGTATAGACATGTACATAGTATATATATATGTGTGTGTGTGTGTGTATACATAGAGAAAGAGTGAGAGAGAGAGAGACAGAGAGAGAGAAAGAGAGAGGCAGAGTAGAAAAATAATGGTGTAAAGGGAAGATAATATGTATAGGGATAGGGAAACAATGAAGTAGACAAGATCAAGTGCTAACATTATAACATTAAATTTTCTATGAAAATGCCATAGGAAATTGTCAAATAGGGGAAAGTAACACTTAAAAGTTAAAACAAGTAGTCAGCATATATGAGAATCCAAGTGGATTTCTGAAACCAATCACACCTCTAACAAATTATTTTAAAAAGTCACATCAATGAAAAATTACTACTCTGTTTTCTTATAACTTCTTATGCTTCTAAGTTATCATTATCTCTCACCTAGATTATTAAAATAGCTTTCTAATTAGTCTGCTTTTCCTGTATTTTTGCCTCACAGTAGCCAACGCGATTTTTAAAAACTGTACATCAGAGCAGATCACTTCTTTGCTCAATACTTTAAGAGCATCCTACCACACTTAGAAAAAACATAAAGACCTTTTCATAGCTTATGAGGTCCTCCGAAATGATCCTCGTTGATCTCAATACCGACCACACCGCACTACCTGTAAGTCTCTTAACTCCTTGACTTGTTCCTTTTAAGCAGATTAGCCTGCTCTCCCATAATCACATGAAGAAATTTTCTACCCCAGAAAGTTGGCAGTCACTATTTGTTTTATAGATAACCTAATGATTTTCTTCCCTCTTATTCAAATATCATCTTACAATAGAAGCAGAACCTAAAGAGGATATGTTTATGTTATGAAGATCTCCTTAACGATCTTTTTAGATCAGGGCTCAGCAGTCTCAAAACCCTTTCAATGGCTCCCCATTACTTATTACAGGACAAATTCTAAATTTAGCATAATACCTAAAGTCTTCCATTATCTGGCCCGGCCACTTTTGCAACTTCTATGTTTTACCACTCTGTGCTTTGTGCTGTTGGTTACGGATGATATGGAATTACTTTTACTTTATACTTTCACCCACAGCCTTGACCCACCTTCACCCACAGCCTTGTCCCACCTTCCTCCCAATGCCCCACCATTCTATTGTTCAGTGTCTGTTTTTGTAAGCCTGGCAAGCTAAATGTCCACACAAATAAACGGTTTTATTGGAACAGCAGACACGCTCACTCACTTACTATTATCTATGACTGCTTTTGCACTACAACAGCAGAGTTGAGTAGTTGCTGCAGAGACTGCATGGTTCACAAAGCCTAAACTATTTACTGTCTGGCCCTTGGCAGACAAATTTGTTGATATATGCTTTAGGTTAGATACAAGAGCCCTCAGACCCAAGTTAGCATATAACATAAATTATAGCAAATTTATTTAGCAATTATAGCACTTATTGCATACATCACAGGCATCTTGTAAATGTTGTACATGCTTTTTTTTTCATTTGACTGAGATAGCAACTCTCTTGGGTAAATATAATAATAATAATTATTATTATTATTAATTATTATTATTTTAAGATGGAGTCTTGCTCTGTCGCCCAGGCTGGAGTGCAGTGGCGCGATCTCGGCTCACTGCAAGCTCCGCCTCCTGGGTTCACGCCGTTGTCCTGCCTCAGCCTCCTGAGTAGCTGGGACTACAGGCGCCCGCCACGGGGCCCGGCTAATTTTTTTTTGTATTTTTAGTAGAGACGGGGTTTCATCGTGGTCTCGATCTCCTGACCTCGTGATCCACCCGCCTCGGCCTCCCAAAGTGCTGGGATTACAGGCGTGAGCCACCGCGCCCGGCAAATTATTTTTATTTTAGAAGTTATGGAACTGAGGTTTAGAAATATTGTTGTTTTAGTGAACTAAAGATTAAGAATTCTAAATCTTATAACATATACTAAAAATTGTTCTTGAAGAAGTTTTTGAAATCTAGTCTTGAATAACTAGATTGAGGTCTGAATAGCAGCTTTCCCACCCTCTGCCCCAAATTAGAATCTAGCTTTGTCTGATTAAAACTCTTAACATTATCACATACGACACTTTATTCAGAAAAATGTGCTTTTGTTTTTGTATTAGATTTTTATTTTGAAATAATTGTAGAGTCACAGGACATTGTACAGGGATATACAGCAGGATGTAATTGAATGTATAGGAAGGCCACATGGATTCACACCACATCTTCCTCAATATAACTCTGAACCTTAAAACTATGCTACAGATACTTTTGAAATTTCAAGATGCCTAGGTTAAAGAGCAAAGCAAAGCAGTATGTCTGGATAACGGGAACTTCCAGAGGCCAGGCTGTAGTGTGCTCTTGGCTACCACTCTCCTAGTGGGCAAACCTGGTACATACAGACCGAACAGATCGTTTTAGTGTCTGCCACATTTGTTAAATGGGTGTTGAATGAGAATTACTAGGAACATTTCAGGTCATGTAATCTGCCATTACTATAGCACTATAAATACATATTGAGGCCACTGATAGACTCAGGTGCACTATGTTAAGTAAAAACCAAGATTCTGATGCTTAATACCTGACACTTTCTACAGGAAAATTCATTAGTTTTTCTTAAATTATTTTACATGCTCCTCATAAAAGTAATGTTTAATTTTTATTTTGAAGTAATTATTGATTCATAGGGCATTGCAGAAAATGTATAGGGAAGTCCTATGTCAACTTCATTCAGTCTTCCCCAAAGTTAATACTTTCTACAACTATACAACTGTAAAATATCAAAGCCAACAAGACAATATTAGTGTAATCCATAGTACTTATTCAGATTTTACCAGTAACAGGCACCCCTGTGTTTAGGGGTGTGTACAGTTTATCGTATGTGCAGCCTTGTGTCCCACCAACAAAATCAAGATACTCAACTGTACATTGCCACAAGGCTCTCTTGTTTTACCCCTTTGTAGACACACCTATCCCCTCCCACCTCACTCCTGTCACTTGGCAGCCACTGATCAGTTTTCCTTCTCTATAATTATATTATTGTATTTCACAAATATTACAAAAATGGAGCCATGCAGTATGCATGTTTTTAAGACTGGGTTCTTTTTATTATCTAAGCATAATTTTCTTTAGGTTTATGCAAGTTCTTAGGTGTGTGATCAGCTCATCCCTTTTTTATTACTGAGTATTGTTTCATGGTATGTATGAATGTATCATTGTTTAGCCATTCATCCACTGAAGGACATTTGGGTAGATATTATAAATTAAGCTACTAAGAACATTTATTTACAAGGCCCTGGGTGAAAATTATTTGTCATTTCTCTGCGACAAATGCCCAAGAATGCAATTGCCAGGTCGTATGGTAAGTCCATTTTTAGTTTCAAAAGAAACTGACCGTTTGTTTCCCAGAGTGACTGTGCTATTTATATTCCCCAAAGCAATGTATGAGTGACCCACCAGCTCCAAATCCTCACCACTATTTGATATTTTTTATTTTTGCCATTTTGGATAAAGTTTTAGTAATATTTCATTATGGTTTTAATTTGCATTTCTTTAATTGCTAAGGAAGTTAAATGTCTCTCATATTTTTATTTCCCATATAATCTTCAGAAAGTGTCTGTGCATGTATTTTACCCACCTTCTGCGTGGATTGTTTTGTTTGTTTCACTGTCTAGTTTTAAGAGTCCTTTGTATTTTATATCTATTGTCAGATATGTGATTTGAAAATATTTCTTCCACCATGCAGCTTATCTTTTCATCTTTCTCTCAAGGTAAAAGGTTTTAATTTTGATAAGTTCCAATTTATCAGTCATTCCACTATGGTTCCTGCTTTTGATGCTGAGTCTAAGAACTCATTGCTAAGTTGTAGTTCCCAAATATTTTCTACTATATTATTTTCTTAGAAGTTTTATAGTTTTACACTTTAATCTACAACCCCCTTTTGCTTAAGCACCATTTAATAAAATTAAAATTGCTTTGGCTATTTTTGGGCTTTGCTTTTCTATATAAATTTTAGAATAAGCTTTTCTATGTATACAATAAATATGCTGAGATATTGTACTTCTGTAATTCATAAAGTAATTTAGGGAAAATTGACAAATTTATGATGTTGAGTCTTCCAAATCACATCCATATCATGTCTCTTCAAGTAGTTCTTTAATTTCTTCCATCAGCATTTTATTATTTTTATCATACAGAATCTGTACATGCCATGTTAGGCTTATATTTAATATACCATTTTTTGGAAAAACTGTAAATTGTATTGTGGGTGTAATTTCTGTTTATACTTGTTCATTTTTGCTATCTAAAAATATGATTGATTTTTGTTGATCATATGTCTTGTGACTTTATTTAACTCACATAAATCTATTTGGTTTTTACTTGTGTAGATTCCTCGGGGTATCCTACATAGAAAATCATGTTGTCTGCCAAGAGACACCATTTTATTTCTTTCTTTCAAATCTGCCATGCATTTTATTTTTTTTCTGTCTTATTGTAGTGCCTGAATTTCCAGTGCTATGCCAAAAAGAATGGAGAGACAGAATAACCATACCTTGTTCCTGATTTTCAAGAAATGTATTCAGTCTTTCACCATTAAATTCCTCTCCATTCCAGTATAATGAAAATTTTTAATCATAAATGAGTGCCGAACTTTGTGAAATGCCTTTTCTGCTTCAGTTGATATGATCATGTGACTTTTCTGCTTTTACCTGTTGTAATGGTGGATTGCAATGATTGATTTTTGAATATAGAACCAGCTTTGAGTACCGGGAATAAATGACCCAATACAGTTATGGTGTATTATTGTTTTTATACACTGTTGGATTCAATTTGCTAAAATTGTGTTAAGGTTTTGTGTATGCATGTTCATGAGTGATTTTGTTTGCTTGTTTTTTATGCTGAGATTGGTTTTTTTATTAGAGAACCACTGGCCTCATAAAATGGATTGGAAGTTTTCTCTTTTTCTATATTCTAGAAAAGGTTGTAGACATTTGTGTTAATTTCTTTCCTAAATGTTTGCTAAATTCATCTAGTAAAACCATCGGGGCATAAAGATTTCCTTTTTTGGAACTCTTTAATTAAAAATTCAATTTTTAAATGGTTATACAGCTACTCACATTATATTACCTTGGGTGACTTTTGATATCATATTTTTTCAAGGAATTCTAAGTTGTTGAATATTAAAATTTAATTTTACATACAGTATTTCTTTAGTATCTTTGTGATGGTTGCAGGCTGTGTTTGAATATTCCCTAATTCATTCCTCACATTGTTGAGTTGTATCTCTTTTTTTGTCCTTACTGATTTTTCTAGATTTTATGAGGAGCCCTATCTGATGCAAGCAGCCAGTTAGTGTGTGTGTTAAGATCACCTAAAACAGGATTTTAGCCTTCAATGAGGACGGTTCTATATAGTTTTGTATCCTATCTGACTGAAAATATGTTATATATGTATGTGTGTGGGTGTCTGTGTGTGTGTGTGTGTGTGTATGTGTGTGTGTGTTTATGCTGGTAGCTTGAATAGGGTTCTTATTTTTCCTTTGAAATTTTCTATTGTGTTTGAATGACTGTATAATGAACACATGTTAATTTCACAACATTAATAAGGTAATGTTTGTTAAAAACAATAGGAATTTTTATTACCTTGAAAAGATATATGGTCAAAACTTTTAAAATTAGATGTTCTAAAATAAGGGCTTTAAAAATGTTGAATACATTTTATTTTTAAGCTGGCATAGGCTTTTCAATTTCAAAAACACTCTGGCTAACATTTGGGACCTTTTAGCAATCAGGCAGTATGTAATTTGGAAGTGAAATCCTGCTGTATTAAATTCTGATCATTTTTAATAAGATGCTTCTAGATGAGCTCAATTGTAAATTGTCAAAAAGGTCAGTATTTATCATGTAAGAGAAATATGTGATGTGGTTCAAGGAAGCCAAAGGCCAACCTGACCAAGAATCTATTCACCAGTCAAAACCTTAAATCCCCAACATGAGAATCTCTCTGAAGAATTAAGACCTTCTCCCCCAGATGAGATGCCTTCAGACAAAGCATGAATCAATGATGTGGACTTAATTAAAAATTGTCTATGTGACACTTATGAGCATTAGCTAATACAAAAAATGTAAGGTCTTTTAATTACTGTGCAGGGCAGTACCAACCTTGCAACTGCCCCATCTTTTGACATTAAATAGCAGATATTTGCCCAAAGGTCTTCTTTGTCTCTAAAAAAACCTATAAAACCTCACAATTGTGTATAATAACATCCCTTCTAGACTTCCACAAGGGATCTCTGTATTGGACTGTATGTGACAATGTTAGAAGAGGTTGTGACTCACATAATCCAACTATACAATAGTTCTATGGTAGAAAATACTAATTATCTTCTGTCAAAAATTCTGCCCCAGCTAGACTTCAATGTACCATGCCAGCTTTGATAATTGAGGGTCATTTTCTAAATTTTATTTTTCATCATAACATACGCTAAAGTATACTCTGACTGACTTTTCTCTCTTTTTTTCGGATGGGTGGGGATGATACCACTCCTATAAGTTTTAACACAGTTATAGATTACCACCATTCACCACCACAATTAGCATAAAAATTTTCCATCACCCCCAAAAATCTATGTTATGAGAACATTTTGTAGTCACAAACTCCCCAACCTTTAGCAATCACTGATATATTCACACCATATTTTATCTATTTGAAAATGTCATACAAATGGAATCATACAGTATGTAATTTTTTAAAAAATTTCTAACTTTTGTGGGTATTACAAATAGTATGTGTACATATTTATGGGTTACATGAGATATTTTGATACAGGCATGCAATGTATAATGAGGGTAAATTGGGTATCCTTCACCTCAAGCATTTATCTTTATGTTACAAACAATCCAATTATACTGTTTTAGTTATTTTAAAATGTATAATTAAACTATTCTTAACTATAGTCACCCTGTTGTGCTAGCAAATACTAGGTCTTATTCATTCTTTCAATTTTTTGTACCCACTAACCATCACCACTACTCACCCCGCACTCCTTTCCAGCCTCTAGTAATCTTCCTTCATTCTCTATCTCAATAATTTCAACTATTTTAATTTTTAGCTCCCACATATAAGTGAAAACAAGCAAAGTTTGTCTTTCTGTGCCTGGCTTATTTCACTTAACATAATGACCTCCAGTTTTATCCATGTTACTGCCAATGACAGACTTTCACTCTTTTTTATGGCTGAATGATACTCCTTTGTGTATATATAGCGCATTTTATTTATTTATTCTTTTGTTCCTGGGCACTTAAGTTGCTAATATATAGAAGCATAATTGATTTTCATGTGTTGTCTACATTCCTAAACCCACTCATTAGTTCAAGGAATTAAAGGATTCCTGGAGAATTTCTCAATAGGTAATCATGCCATTTGCAAATAAATGTGGTTTTATTAATTTTTTTCTGATCTATATATTTTGTAGTTATTTTTCTTTCTTTAATCCACTGGATAAACTTTCCTCCACAAAGTTAAATAGGAGTGGTGACAATGACTTCCTTTCTTTGTTCCCTATCTTAGGGGGAAAACATTCAGTCTTTCACCATTAAGTACAATACTAGTGACATAAGATCCTTGGGGTGTTGCTTCAGCAGCCAGAAACCTCTGTGACCAGTGGTGCCTTTGCCCAAGTTTTGCTTGGGCCCACTGGGCTTGTTCCGCCCACTCAGGCTGGCAGCCTGCACTAGGCTGATGCTACCAGCTCTGATTTTATGGCTGTCAAGGGTGAGCCAGATGCAGAGCAGTGAGGGATGTGTGAGTGAGCAAGGGCAGGGTCTGACCACTATGCACAGCCAGGTACAACAGCTGCGGTGGGGCAGGAAGCTCCAGGCGCCAACATGGGTGTGGGCTCCCTGTGAGTCTGAAGATGGACCAGGCATACTGCAAGCAGCTGCTACTGTGGGCAGCAGGGAACACAGGGCCACCTGGAAGCTTGGTGATGCCAGGAACTACAGAGACCCAAAGAGGGTGTCACAGCTTGGGGAGCTCCTAAGTCCTCAAAGGGCCACAGCTCTTCTCTCCTTCTCATCGCCCTCAATGTGGCGAGCATGGGGGCATGTTGCAGCCTTGTTTGTGTTACAGCACTTTCAGTCTCCCCATTTGGCACGTCCCGAGTTCTTGTCCCGCATCCAAGAAGAATTAGGTAGGCAGACATCTGGAGGGTGCGCAAGGCAAAGAGGTGCTTTATTGAGTGACAGACGGCGCAGCTCTCAGGAGACAAAAAGTGGGTAGATCCTCTCTGCAGGCAGGTCATCCTACCTGCCTGAATCTGGCTGAGTCTGGGTTTTTAATGGGCTTCAGAAGGGAAGAAGTGTAGGCTGATTGGTCCATGAGCGGCCATGGGTGGGCCTGGAAATAAAGCATCTAAGTTCTAGCTCCAGGCCACAGAACTGGCAGTCTGGCCCACAGGATTCAGCCTTCCCCGGCTTGAAGGTGGGGCTTCACCATGGACACGCCCCTTTCTGCCCAGAGCCTGTCTGCCTCCTTCTGCTCTCTAAATGCCATCTGTGGTCCCCAAGTTCTTTGTGCCAAGGGGCGCCTGCAGGTCCATGCTAAGCTGCCCTCAGCCCCTCCTTGGCCTCCGTCCCATGCTTATCAGTGCCCAAAGTCCAGAAGGACATGTGGCAGCAGGGTGCTGGCATGTCAGTTCTGCCCAGAGCGCATGAACACCCAGCTGGGTTGTGACAGTGCCTGGGCTCAGCCTCACCTTTGCTCTGAAATTCAAACGCGCACTGGGAGCATGGAGGCCAGGCAGCCAGAGCAGGCACTTTCAAGCTTGCAGGGGTACACTCACGGGTCCACACCCACCGCTGAGTGGCTGCAGCTGTGCCTGGGAGCATGGGCTCCCGCCCCACCAACTTGGAAGGGGGCAGGGCGTCCACCTGTTCCTGGTTTCTTCTGGCTCCAAGGAACATGCAGCAGCCCGGGTCCTGCCTCCCCTGCAGCAGCAGCGCCAGATGGGCTGCTGCTGCATCATTAGCTGTAGATTTTCTTATGAGCACTGCTTTTCAAGTTGATCAAGTTGTTTTCCATTCCCAGTTTGATACCCAGTTTTATCAGAAATGCATGTTGCATTTTGGCAAGTTATTTTTCTGATCAATTAACATAATCATGGGTTTTTAAAAAATTTTAGACTGTTAGTATGGCAGATAGAATTGGTTGATTTTCAAATATAGAACCAGCCTTACATTCCCAGAATAATCTCTATTTGTCTTTTAAAAATATATTTCCAGAATTGAGTTGTTTCTTGTACTATGTTGTTTTGGTATCAGGGCAATAATAGGCTCATAAATGAGTTGAGAAGTATTCTTGTCTTCTATTTTCTGGACGAGATTTTATAAAGTTTGTTTTTTTCAATAGACAAAGAGATTTCTCTTTTTGGATGTTTCTGCTACAAATGTAATTTCCTTAATAGTTATAGAATGGTTCGGGTTTTTAATTTTATTATTGATCAGTTATGCTAGTTTTGGTTTTTAGCAAATGGCTCCTTTCATCTAAGTTGATGAAGTATATGTTTAAGGTTGTCTGTTGTATTGTCTTATTACTCTTTAATGTTTCCAAAATATGTAGTGTATCCTCTCCTTTAATACTAATATTTGTTTATCAATTTTGGGACTGCTTTTAATGACAGCTAATTTACAACACCCCTAGGTGATAATCTTCCTGAATTTTGTAAGAGAATCAATATAGAACATCTTGGTAGTACACAATACAACTTCGCCCTGCAAAAATGAAACAGAATACAGCCAAACGCTATAAACCAGACTTTGGGGGCAATTAATATTACCAAACCTAAATATTTTTCTATAATAGTGTATGGTACAAACCAGTGCCAGTTGAAAACTGTGACTGGTACACAAGAAGATCAGGACAGAAGGTAGGAATGAACATTTGGAAAGCAATTATAGCAATATGATGGTAATTTTATATGTTTTGAATAAATAATAAAATTAGGTTATACCTTAAATGCCTTTTTATATTTTTAGTAATTTTTAAATATTTTATACAAATATCTATTCAATGCAAAACAAGTTTCATAAAAATAAAACTATCTTTCAATATATATTCTTTGAGGTAACCACTCCAGAGAAATTGTCCACCAATGTATCACTGTCTTTCTTTAAAAAAAAAAAAAAACACACACAGAAAAGCCAGGCGCGGTGGCTCACGCCTATAATCCCAGCACTTTGGGAGGCCGAGGCGGGCGGGTCACAAGGTCAGGAGATCGAGACAATCCTGGCTAACATGGTGAAACCCTGTTTCTACTAAAAATACAAAAAATTAGACGGGTGAGGTGGTGGACCCCTGTAGTTCCAGCTACTCGGGAGACTGAGGCAGGAGAATGGCATGAACCCGGGAGGCGGAGCTTGCAGTGAGCCGAGATCGTGTCATCGCCACTCCATCCTGGGTGACAGAGTGAGACTCCGTCAAAAACACACACACACACACACACACACACAGAAAAGTTTCCTGTTTATTCCTCTGCTAGGGAGTCATTTCCATAGTCATAATGGAAATGCTGTCTCTCAGTATCTATAATTTATTCAAAATATTTTTTCTTTCTTACAAAGGTGGACTCCAAATATATTCATTCCTGTCTTAACATATCCTTGTATTGCTAAGCAAATAATGAGGTCTCTGTGATGTTTGCCTATTGATTTTTAGGAACTGAGCTTCAGTTCAACCATTTTTATCCTCTTTCAGCCATATTACATTATTTCTGCATCTACCAAATTTTCCTCATATTGATGTCTAGGTCATTGACAATCTTTGCTAATACTAGCATTGATGCTTTCTTTTTATTTAACTTTGGTATTTTTAATTGTAAGCCTGAAATGTGAATATTTGATGCTTCTGCTACCATCTCACCAACTCCACCTATAATTTTCTAATGGCTTGTGTGTGTGTGTAATCATTGACAATTATTAATTGATTTTTCATTGCCTTCTGAATTTTTATACTTATGAGAGATTAAAATAAGAGTATGGTATCTCTAAGCCAAACAACTTCCACTTTAGAAAAGTTTTAAAACATGCAGTAAACAGGGAGGCATAGAGGCAAGTAATCAGAAATATTAAGCAAAATTGAGAATTTTTTCTTGAAAAGAATAGTGAATATGATCAACAGTACATGGAATTGATGGAGAGTAAATAGGTAAGAAGCCTATTGAGATTTTGGGGGAATTTCAGTGCCAAAGAAACAATAAACCTTGTCTAACAAGCATCTGACTGATGAGCTTCAAAAGAGAAGCAATATAGAAAAACTGGACAAACTGTAAGGATGGCATAGCCAAGCATGACACTTTAGATGTGACTGAGGAAGATGATAGACCTGGAAGAGTATCCCAGAAGTTGAAGCCATAGTCATAAAGAATAATGTGCAAGAGGAAAAAGAATCAAAGTCTTTAAACCAACAAAGATCAAAAAAAGAAAAAGAAGGACATACTGTAATGGTAAAGGGTTCAGTTCAACAAGAAGACCTAGCTATCCTAAACATACGTGCACCCAACATAAAGCAAGTTCTTAGAGACCTTCACAGATACTTAGGCTCCCACACAATAATAGTGAGAGACTTCAACACCCCACTGATAGTATTAGACAGGTGATTAAGGCAGGAAATTAACAAATATATTTAGGACCTGAATTCATATTGGACCAAATGGACCTCATAAATACCTACAGAACTCTCTGCCCTAAAACAACAGCATATACATTCTTCTCATTGCCACATATTCTAAAATCAACCACACACTCAGACATAAAATAATCCTCAGCAAATGCAAAAAAACAAAAATCATACCAGCCACTCTCTTGGACAATAAAAATAGAATTTCCAACTAAAAATTGCTCAAAAACATACAATTACATGGACATTAAACTTGCTCCTAAATGACTTTTGAGTAAACAATTAAAGCAGAAATCAAGAAGTTTTTGAAACTAATAAGAGCAAATATACAACGTATCAGAATCTCTGGGACACAGCTAAGGGCATATTAAGAGGGAAATTAAACACATACATTAGAAGGTTAGAATGATATCAAGCTAACAAACTAACATCAAAACAAAAATAACTAGAGAAGTAAGAGTAAACCAACCCGAAAGCTGGCAAAAGACAAGAAATAAGCAAAATAAAAACTGAATGGAAGGACATTGAGACATGAAAAACCATTCAAAAGATCAATGAATTCAGGAGTCTGCTTTTTTAAAAAAAATAAATAAAAAAGAACACTCGTTAAAATAATAAAGAAGCCAAGAAAGAAGATCCAAATACAATTAGAAATAACAAAGAGGATGTTACCACTGACCCTACAGAAATAAAAATAACCATCAGTGACTACGATGCACACCTCTGTGTATACACACTTGAAAATATAGAAGATATAGATAATTCCTGGACACATACACCATCCCAAGACTGAAATAGAAAAACAATTGAATTCCTGGATGATCAATAACACACTTTGAATTTGAATCAGTAATAAATAGCCTACTAAACTAAAAAAAAATTTCTGTACCAGATGGATTTGTAGCCAAATTCTAACTGATGTCCAAAGAAGAGCTAATACCACTCCTACTGAAAACATTCCAAAAAATGAGGAGTAGGGACTTATTTCTAACTCATTCTATGAGGCCAGCATCATCCTGATAACAAAATCTGGCAGAGACACAACCAAAAAAGAAAACTTCAGGTCAATATTCTTGATGAACACTGATGCAAAAATCTTCAACAAAATACTAACAAACCGAATCCAGCAGCATATCAAAAAGCTTATCCACCATGATCATTGGCTTTATCCCTGGTATGCAAGGTTGGTCCAATATATGCAAATTAATAAATGTGATCCATCACATAAACAGAACTAAAGACAAAAACCACATGATTATCTCAATAGATGCAGAAAAGGCTTTCAATAAAATTTAACACACTTCATGTCAAAACAGTAAATTGGAAAAAAGTACCTCAAAATAATAAGAGCCATCTATGACAAATCCACAGCCAACATCATAATGAATAGGCAAAATCCAGAAGCATTCCCATTGAAAACCCACACAAGACAAGGATGCCCTCTCTCATCTATCTTACTCAACATCATATTGGAAGTCCTGGCCATAGCAATCAGGCAAGAGAAATAAATAAAGGGCATCCAAATAGGAAGAGAGGAAGTAAAACTATCCCTATTTGCAGATGACATGATTCTACATCTAGAAAACCCCATAGTCTCAGCCCAAAAGCTCCTTAAGTTGATGCACAACTTCAGCAAAGTTTCAGGATACAAACTCAACGTACAATTACCACTAACATTCCCATATACGACACATTCAAGCCAAAGCCAAATTAGGAAGGCAATCTCATTCACTATTGCCACAAAAAGAAAAAAAATACCTAGGAATACATTTAACCAGGGAGGTGAAATATCTGTACAATAAGAATTACAAAACATTGCTCAAAGAAACCAGAGGTGACACAAACAAATGGAAAACCATCCTATGCTCGTGGATAGGAAGAATCAACATTGTTAAAATGGCCATACTACCCAAAGCAATTTATAGAATCAGTGCTATTCCTATCAAACTCCCAATGACATTCTTTATAAAACCAGAAAAAAATTATTTAAAAATGTATATGGAACCAAAAAGAGCCTAAATAGTTAAGGCAATCCTAAGCAAAAAAATAAACCAGGAGCCACCATGCTACCTGAATTCATAGTATACTGCAGTGCTACGGTAACCAAAACAGCATGGCATTGGTGAAAAAAAAACAGACACATGGACCAATGGAACAGAATAGAGAGTTCAAAAATAAGACTGCACACATAGTACTATCTGATCTTTGAAAAAGTAAACAAAGACAAGCAATGGGGAAAGGACTCCCTGTTCAATAAATCGTGCTGAGATAACTGCCTAGCCAAATGCAGAAGATTGAAACTGGACCACTTCCTTACACCATATACAAAAATCAACTCAACATGGATTAAAGACATAAATGTAAAACCCAAAACTATAAGAACCCTGGAAGACAACTTAGTCAATACCATTCTGAATATAGAAACTGGCAAAGATTTTATGGCAAAGATTTTATGATGAAGATGCCAAAAGCAATTGCAACAAAAGCAAAAATTGTCAAATGGGATCTAATTAAACTAAAGAGCTGCTACATAGCAAAAGAAACTATCATTAGAGTAAACAAAAAACCTACAGAATAGGAGAAAATATTTGCAAACTATGCATCTGACAAAAGTCTAATATCTAGCATCTATAAGGAACATATACAAATTCACACACACACAAAATAAACAACCTCTTTAAAAAGTAGCCAAAGGACATGGATAGCCACTTTTCAAAAGAAGTCATACATGTGGCCAACAAGCATATGAAAAAAAAAACTCAGTATCAGTGATCATTAGAGTCATGAAAATCAAAACCACAATGAGATACCATCTCACACCATTCAGTATGTCTATTACTAAAAAGTCAGAAAATAACATATTGGAGAGGTTGCTGAGAAAAGAGAATGCTTATACACTGTTGGTGGAAGTATAGATTAGTTTAATCATTCTGGAAGACAGCGTGGCAATTCCTCAAAGAGCTAAAAACAGAACTACCATTCGACCCAGCAATCCCATTACTGGGTATATACCCACACAAATATAAATTGTTCTATCATAAAGACACATGTACATGAATGTTCAGTGCAGCACTATTCACAATAGCAAAGGCAAGGAATCAACATACATGCTCATCAATGATAGAATGGATAAAGAAAATGTTGTATATATACACCATGGAATACTATCCAGGCATAAAAACACACGAGATCATGTCCTTTCCAGGAACATGGATGGAGCTGGAGGCCATTGTTCTTAACAAACTAATTCAGGAAGAGAAAACCAAACACCAGATGTTCTCACCTTTAAGTGGGAGCTAAATGATGAAATCACATGAACACAAAGAGGAGAACAATAGACACGAGGGCTTACCTGAGGCTGGATGATGGGAGGAAGGAGAGGATCATAAACAAAATAACTATGGGGGTACTAGGCTTAGAACCCCCATACTGGGTGACAAAATGATTTGTACAACAAACCCCCATGGCACTACTTTACCTATATAAAAAACCTGCACATGTACCCCTGAACCCAAAATAAATGTTTTAGAAAATCAAAAAGCAAAACAAAGTCTAATCAAAAAGTTTTCCCCATATCATTCACTGTTATTTTCAACAATCTGCGATCTGCTTTTCCCATTCTTCTCTTTTTCAAATGAATTATTTATTAGTTAAGCTGTCTCTGTTCTGCTACTGTATATTAGTTGGGGGAGGGTGGGCAGAACAAGCAATGTCTTTTGAATTCAAAGGTTACTGGACTGTGAAGGCACTTTTATGCCTGATGCAGAATAATGTGTATTATTTACAGAACCAGGACCTGAGCTGGATGCTGTTAGTAACAAAATTTTAAGTGCCTCCTTTGTAAACAGAGTAGGTTCAATGTGTGAGAGGAAAAGAGAGTGAAATTGGTAGTTGATCACCAGAAAGGTAGATTTTGGCAAAAAACAAAACAAAACAAAAACAAACAAACAAAAAAACACAGTCATTTGCTTACCGAACTTCATTTCATTCTTCTCTTTGAAAAAATATAATTACTAGATTTCCTGGAGGTATGGGAAAATTTGACTTATTTACCAGCCAAACCTCTTACCTCCCAAAAAATCCAGTGAAGTCTTTGGGTCTGTAGTGAATGCTATAGTTTCTATATCAATGATTCCTAATGACATAATTTCCCTTTTCCACCCAGGGATCACCTGACCACATCTGGAGAAATTTGTGTTTATGAAAACTGGGATGATACTATTGTATTCTAATGGATAGAATCTTGGGACCCTCATAAATATCATGCAATATACAGGACAGTTGCCACAATAGCATTAGGAGAAATACCTAATGTAAATGATGAGTTAATGGGTGCAGAACTCCAACATGGTACATATATACATATGTAACAAACCTGCACGTTGTGCACATGTACTAGACCTTAAAGTACAATAAAATAAATAATAAAAAAATAAAGTGAACAATTCCATGGTTATTAGTATATTTACAGAGCTGTGCAGCCATCACCATAATCTAATTTTAAAACATGATTTCATCATCGCAAAGAAAGTCCTCTCCCATCCCCCCATCCCCATCCAAAAAAAAAAAAAAATTATCGAATCAAATGTCAATGGCACCAAGGTTGAGAAACCCTTTTCTGAAAAGATGGCATCTTGGTTTGCATGGCTATATGAGACAAAGCACCTCTGCCCACTTGCATTAGATGATTAAATGTGACACAAGCCTTTCTAGTATTAATATAGCAAAATATGTTTTTTGAATTATTTTTGCAATACTCTCTCATATGAACAGAATGTTAAATCACTGATCTAAAGCCTTAGAACTTATTACCTCACAGGATTGGTAAGAAGATTAATTATTTTGCTTATAAAGCATTTAGGAAAGTAACTGGTGCAAGGTGCAATCTCAGTATGTTTGGTTGAAAATACTGTTTTTGTCTTCCCATTACTTTCTCTTTTGTATGGTATAAGTACAATCATGCACCACAAAATAACATTTCCCTCAACAATTAACAGAACATACAATGGTGGTCCTATAAAGTTATAATAGAGCTGAAAAATTCCTATTGCCTAGTAATGTCGTAGCCACTGTAATGTAGCACCCTCATTATTCACATATATGTGGTGATGTTGGTGTAAACAAACCTGCTGTACTGCAAGACCTATAAAAGTGTAACACATTCAGTTAGGATCTGTATATAATACTTGGTAATAATAATAAATGACTATGCTATTGGTTTAGGTATTTACTATATTATACTTTTTCTCACTATTTTGGAGTGTACTCTTACTTATTTAAAAAAAAAAAAAGGTTAATGGTAAAACAGCCTCAGGCAGGGTCTTCAGGAGTTATTCCAGAAGAAGGCATTGAAATTACAGGAGAAGTGCTGTTGCTTCCAAAGAGATTCCAGTAAGACAAGATGTGGAGGTAGAAGACAGTAATATTAATGATATAGGCCTAAGCTAACGTAGGTGTTTATGTCTTAGCTTTTAACAAAAATGTTTAAAAAGTAGAAACAAATTAAAAATAGAAAAATGTATAGAATAAGTATATAAAAATATTTTTGTATAGCTGTACAATGGGTTTGTGTTTTAGTGACATAAGAGTCACAAATTTTTCAAAATTAAAAATTGTATAAAGTAAAAATGTTACTGTAAGCTCAGGTTTATTTACGATTAAAGAAAAAATATTTTTATAAATTTAGTGAGTCCTATACATACAGTGTTTATGAAGTCTATAGTAGTGTACAGTAATGCACTGGGCCTTTATATTCACTCACCACTCACTCACTGACTCACCCAGTGTAACTTTCAGGCCTGCAAGCTCTATTCACGGTATGTGTCCTATGTAGTTATACTATTTTTAATCTTCTATACCAATTTTTACTGTATTTTCCTATGTTTATATATATTTAATATATAAATACATAACCATTGTGTTACAATTGCTTATAGTATTAATACAGTAACGTATTGTATAAGATTGTAGCCTAGGAGAAAGAGGCTATACAATATAATAATATGTGTATAGTAGGTACAGCCTCTGCATAGGATAGGTAGGTGCATAGTAGGCTATACCATCTAGATTTGTGTAAGTACACTCCATGTTGTTCACACAAAGACAAAATCCCCTAAGGATGCATTTCTCAGAATGTATCTCCATCATTAAGCAACATATGACTGGATGGTTATTTTACAATTTCCTTTTGTAGATGAGGAAAATTAGGATACGAAGAGGTTAAGTTGACTATATTTGCAAAGATAGTAAATAATAAAACAGATACAGACCTAGAAAATCTGATTCCCAAGTTCAGGTCTTTGATACCACACTACAACTGCCTTTCATTGGAAAAGGAAAAGAAGTCCCACAGATGCAGAAAATTTCACTTAAATTAAAAATCTTTTCTTCTCTGTGTCTCAACTGATTATAGAATCAGTTGCCTTTGGAAGCTCAACATTAATGAGTGGTATATTATACAGAAATTCAGGTAATTGTAGAAGGGCTCCACACTGTATCCATGCTTCCCATGGAGTGGTAGCCAGAGTAAGCAGAATATGAGATACTGAAATCTCATATTTCATATAGAGGCTTTCCTGAATAAAATAAGTAACTAAGCTGAGATATAGTTCACCTGCAGGGACTGCTCAGATTCCAGCCTGCTGGATCACACCAAATGAGTGATTGAAATTTATAGCAAACAGCCTTGTAGCTGAAAATCTGAGAAAAATATCCTGACAGATTCCATCTTTAGAGTGAGAAAATAAAAAGAGTATATATTCACTGAGTTTGGGGAAAAATACCTGTATATAAATCTCTATTCAATAAAATGTATGAGAAAAAAATGAATCACAGAAAAAATATGACATATAAAAAGAAGAGATCTTTTATGTGTGAGAGGAGTGTGATCTGCCTACAGTGTGAGGCTCTCCATTCTCCCACTCTGTGTCACATGTGCTCAATCCTTTTGATTAGGAAGTGGAGAACTGATACAGAATGTCAGTCATAACTCAGAATAATGAGTTCAGGGAAGAGATGCCTGATGCAAAATGGCCAATCAGAGCCTTTGGATGTTAAGAAACAGAAATCACATTTACATAAGCGTTGTTGATTTAGAACCATTTGACTATAGACCTGAAGGAAGCCATCTTGACAGTCATATAGAGAAAGCCTGCATTCATTTAATTTTGTTTTTTGAATGTTGGCTATGTGCAAGGACACTAATCTAGTTCCAGGAGATGGCACAATAGACAAAACAAATTAAATCCAGGCCCCTTTAAAAGCTAACTTTCTAGCAAGGGAGGGAGATTTAAATAAATAACAAGTACATAATGTGAAGCCAGTTTGAGATAAATGTCGTATTTTAAACTAAAATATAGCTGAGGTGTCAAGTATAAATTGAGGAACATGGGTTGGATAGCATTATCAGGAAAAGACTTCCTGAAGAAGGGGCATCTGAAGAACTAAAGAAACAAAATAGGACAGCAAGCAAAGAAAACATCTGGGGGAAGGCAGAAGGAATCGTGAGTGCAAAACTTGAAATGGAAGCATTTGCATTTTTACAGTGTTTGATGAAAAGAATGACAGAGAGTGTGGTTGAAGCACAATGAATAATAATACAGTTGGCCGTCCATATTCATGGGTTCCACGTCCATGGATTCGACCAGCCATAAATTAAAAAAAAAAAAAAATTGTATCTGTACTGAACATATACAGGCTGTTTTCTTGTTATTGTACCCTAAACAATACATCATCACAACTATCTATATAGCAGCTACATTGTATTAGATATAAGTAATCTAAAGATGATTTTAAATATACAGGAAGATACACATAGGCTATATGCAAATAATAAACCATTTTATATCAGGGACTTGAGCATCTGTGAGTTTTGGTATCCATGGCAGATCCTGGAACCAATCTTCCACAGATACTGAGGGATGACTGCATTTGAAGAAAATGAGGTTGTAGAGTAAGCCAAGAGCAAGAGCATGTATGGCCTTTTAGGCTAAATAAGCACTTCCAAATGAATTATAATGAAAGGCCACGTAATCATTTGGCTGAGTAGGTAATGTGATGAAATTTACAGTTGTGCATAGGGCAAAAGTTTTGATAGGCAAGAGTAGAAGCAAAGATGTTAGAAGAGAGGCTCTAAAAGTGTTAGAAGGCTAATAAAGATTATAGGACAAAGGTGGCCCTGCTTGTATCTAGGGTGGTGGCAGTGGCGATGGCAATAATGCAAAGAATATATTTTGAAAATAAAGATAATAGAATTTAGCAGAAAATAATAGGAAAAAAAGGAACAAAGGCAGATCATAAAAGTTGAAAAGAAATAGCAATGTGGTACATTTAAATCCAAATATATCAATAACCACATTAAATGTTAATGATCTAAACACCTAATTTAAAAGGCAGAAGTTGTCAGATTGTCTAAGAAAGCAACACACTACTATATGCTATGTATAAGACAATATAAAGACACAGATTAAAAGGAAACGGATGTAAAAATAATATGTACCATGCTAACATAAATAAAAAGAAAGTTGAAGTAGCTATATTACTATAAGACAAAGTAAATTGCAGAGCAAGAATGCTGTCAGGAAATAAAGGGAGTCATTTTATCTAAAAGGCCAATTCAATAGAAGATATAATAATCCAAAATTCTTATGGGTCTAAACACAATCTGTATATTAAATGTAAAGGAGAAAAATTCACTATTGTAATATGAAATGTAAATATCCTTAACTATCTCAATACTTCATAGACAATTAGACTGAAAATAAGTGAGAATATAGAAAACTTCAACACAATCAATCAACCTGACAAACTGATATTTATAAAACATTTTATCTAATAGCAGCAGAAAACACAGTCTCTTCAAGTAGACACTGAACCTTTACCAAGATGCACCATAAAGAAAGTCTATCAAACACAAGCCAATAAATGCCAATGCATTCAAATCACACAGAATATATTATCTGACCACAATAGAATTAAATGAAAATTTAGTCAGTCAATAATCATCATTAACATTATTGTCATCATCATCAACATCATTGTTATCATGACCATTTCTAATATTTGGGGAATTCAATGGGAAATTATATATTTTAAAACTTGGTAAGCTATATATACCATTATTATAAACCCAGTATATTACTTAATGGAAAAACATTAGAGTCATGTCCATCATCCTGAGAAACATTGCAAAGATGCCTACTATCTTAGCTGCTCCTCAGCACTGTAATAGAGGTATTAGCCAACGCAATTAGACAAGACAAATTGGACACGTAAGAATGATAAAGAATGCATAAAGCTATCTCTTTTACAAGAGTATAATTGTCTTCTTGGGAAACTCTACATCAACAATTTAAAAAATACTAAATGATATAAGGATGATGTAAAATGACAAGATATAAAAATACCACACTTTGGGAAGTCAAGGCGCAGGGACTGACTGAGCTCAGGAGTTCAAGACCAGACTGGGCAACATGGCAAAACCTTGCCTCTACCAAAAATACAAGAAATTAGCTGAGCGTAGTGGGGCACGCCTGTGGTCCCAGCTACTTGGGAGGCTGAGGTGGGAGGATCTTTTGCACTGGGGAGGTAGAGGTTGCAGTCAGCCGAGATTGCACTACTTCACTCCAACCTGGGTGACAGAATGAGACACGATCTTGTTACCAGGGGTCCTTGCGCCCAGAGCTCCCAAGATAGTGGTGGGCCACTTCGAAAATGGCAGCGGGCCACTTCCAAGATGGTGGCAAGCCTCATGTTCTCTGACCTGGGGTTCTTGGCCTCACGGATTCCAAAGAATGGAATCTTGGGCCATGTGGTGAGTGTTATAGCTCTATTAGAAGCCGTGGGTCACGGAAGAGAACTGTGGAACCCAGTGACTAGTGTTCAGCTCACTTAAGATGAACCCGGGCACTTAGCCATGCAGGAACAATGGCAAGCCTTTAGCCCGATCGGCAGCAGCAATGGTCACCTTGCTGGATCGGGAGCACAGCAGAGACCCTGCTGGATCCAGAGGGATGGAAGTCAGTGGCGGGTCTGCTACGGAGGCAAACAGCACTGGTGGACAGTGAGCGAAAGCTCAGCTTGAGCCGTAAAAACACGGACCAGAAGAGAGTGCAGTTGCAAGATTTAATAGAGTGAAAACAGAGCTCCCACACAAAAGGAGGGGACCCAAAGAGGGTAGCCTTTGCCGGCTCAAATGCCTGGGTTTATATCCTGATCATTGTCCCTCTGCTGTGCTCTCATGCGATAGTGATTGGCTATTTCTTTACCTCCTGTTTTTGCCTAATTAGCATTTCAGTGAGCTCTCCTTACTACCTGATTGGTCGGGTGTGAGCTAAGTTGCAAGCCCCATGTTTAAAGGTGGATGTGGTCACCTTCCCAGCTAGGCTTAGGGATTCTTAGTGAGCCTAGGAAATCCAGCTGGTCCTGTCTCTCAATCTCAAAAAAAAAAAAAAAAAATCAGTGAAAATCAGTGACCATAGATCAACTTCCTGCATGACAGGGTGAGCTCTGCTGATTGACTTCCCAGTGAATTTTGGAAATTTTGGAAACATTTACTTTAAAATTGTTATACTGCTGAACTAGTGTCCACTCTCCAAGCACAGTAAGACCAGATAGTCACAGTGAGAATTTGCAGAGTAGGAAAGACACGCTTATTTGTAAGGCACCAAGCAAGGAGGACCAGGCAGCTAATGTTCAAATTCTGACCTCCCTAGTGGCTTGCAGGTAAAGGTTTTCAAATGCAGGTGTAAATTTCAGCCCAGCAAAAGTTACGGACAAAATGGTAAATCAATACCGGGAGGTTACAAATTGATTTGGGCCTAAAAAGGTGGGATATCTTTCAACAGGGGCTTACAGATTATAAGTAGATTCAAACATTTTCTTATTTGTAATTGGTAAAGGAAGAGAAATATGGTTTAAAAATTTAGAATCAGCAGAAAAGAATATTAGCTCTGGCTCATGGGTGTGACTCCCTCTAGGGCTCTCAGGAAGAAATTCATAACAAATAATAGTTCAGAGTTCAGTCCTCCCTTCTTTCTTATCTGAAGTTTATTTGTTGACAGATCCATTTAGTAGGAGTCCAGCTTTCTGAAAAACAGCTCATAGGTATATGTTAAGATGTTATCTTAGCACATCTCCTGACTCTAACTTTGCTATTGTTTTAGGCTACTATTGCTTTCTTGCTTATCAAGTCACTTCTTTACTTCTCATGGCTAACTAGGCGCCTGGAATTTCTCTTGAAGATACTGAAGATTTTCCTTTATTTCCATGCCTTGGGACAGGAGTACAGGCCCCTAAGAAGGAATCTCCGCTCTGTCTCAAAATAGTCACTTGAAATAGTCATAAGGGCAAATAACAAATGAACAAACACATATTCAAGAAACTGTATGAAAATTTGGTAGAGTATGTGAGGGTCTGCCCTCTCCTCTCCTACATCCTCTGCTTCTCTCCCCGATGCTCTTCTTCCCTCCCACATCCCAGCTAGTTAAGGCAGAGAATCAACTCTGGACTGCTGCAACCCAAAAAACAGGGCTCCTTCTACCTTCAGCTCTCAGCCAAAAGGTTTTCTTACTAGGGGCAGGACTTCACATTTTTCATCTCGCTCCTTGTTTTCTATTGCTGAAACTAAGTCTTGGGTGAGTGTAGTCAAGAGGTGGTGTCTCCCTTCTGCTCAGCCCATGCTCCTGGAACAGAAGCTCTGCCTTGGGCTTGGCTCACAGAAAATACCGGGAACACAATTTCCTTCCCTTAGCTCTGTAGACAGAGGTGCCATCCCCAAAGAAGCAAGCCAAAAGGATCCTGTTGCTAAATGTGCAGCTACTATAAAGGGGTGTCACTCAAAAAGAAGCTTGCCATTGTCTCTACTCCCACTCCCTGCTACAAAGCCCTGGTTCAGAGATTTTGGTTGGAGTGGAGGGAGAACCAGTCAGTAAAACAGCTCCTAACTTATCCTTTAAATAACATATTTCATCTGCAATGAGTGTGGAAAAGTTTAAGTCTAAGAAGTTTCTCAAAACAGTGAAGGTTATGGTGAAGAAAATTGGGAGGAAATTTGAGGATCTAATAAAGATGCAGCCTAGACTGTAGGCTAGATAGTTTGCAAAAAAAAAAAAAACCAGACAGCTAGAAGAGCTCTTCTGAAGTAAGAACAAAATATCAAACACTGACTCAAAAACTATTCCTTGGAAAGAGCCTCCAATTTGAATAGGCTAGTTCATACAGAAATTTTTGCTGCAGGACAGTGTTGTAAATAATACAGCAATTGGCCCATAATGAGTAGAGTTTAACAGCTGGATATGACCAGAAAAAGAGTGGGTGAGAGAGCTCTACCACAGTCATCACAGAGTAATCATGGGTATACTCGAAACTACGTTTTCGAGGAGCAACATCAGAGACTTAACACTGTGCGAGGGAATTAGTTTTACTAAAATAATTTGGTAGTCACTGAAAAATGAGAAAACTTATAACAAAGACAAGCTTGGGGTGGGGGGAATATACCCAAAGATTTTACAATATGTTATTAAAAATGTCCAACGTCCAAGAAGATATTATCAGGCATGCAAATAGTAAAACAACAAATAATGCTTGTGAAAGCATTCAGATTTTGGATTTAAAAGGAAAAGATTTCAAAGTAGCTATTATAATTATATTCACAGAAGTAAAGGAAATCTTGATTAAAGAAGTAAAGGAAGGCATAATTACGATGTCACATCAAATAGAGAATTTCACTAAAGAGAGAAAAATACAATATATAAGCAACCAAACAACTCTAAGGAAAGAAACTAAATAATCCAATTAAAAATAGGCAAGGGATCTAAATAAATGTGTCAAAAGAAGACATAAAAATGACAATCAAATACATGAAAAAACTGCTTAACCTCACAAATCACTAGGAAAATACAAATTAAAACCAAAATGAGGCATTACATCACACCTGTCAGAATGGCTATTATCAAAAAGACAAATGTTAGCAAGTATTACCAAGGATGTGGAATAAAGGGAAACCTTTATTCCACTGTTGGTGGAAATGTAAATTAGTACAGCTGTTGTGGAAAACAGTAAACAGTATGGAGTTTGCTCATAAAACTAAAAATAGAATTACCATGTGATTCAGCAATCCCACCTCTGGATATTTACCTCCCAAATTTAAAATCAGTATGTCAAAGAGTAGTCTGCACTCCCATGTTCACTGCAGCATATACCATGTATACACACACACACACACACACACACACACACATATAAATATATACTGAACATCACAATGGCCAAGTTATGGAATAAACTGAAGTGTCCATCAACAGAAAAATGGATAAAGAAAAGATGGTAAAAATACACAATGAGATATTATTTAGCCTTAGAAAAGAAAGAAATGTTGTCTTTTGTGACAACCTTCATGGAATTGGAGAATATTGTGCTAAATGAAATAAGACAAGCACAGAAAGATCCATATTCTCACTGATATGTGAAATCTCAAGCATCAAACTAAAAGGAGGAGAGAATATAATGGAGATGACCAGAAGCCACGGGTATGGAGATGATGGTCAAAGTGTATAAGATCTCAATCAAACAGAAGGAATAAATTTTATTATTATTTTTTACTCCAAGATCTGTTACATAGTATGGTGAGTATAGTAAATAATGGTGTATTGTACACTTCAAAATATCTAAGAGAATAAATTTTAAATGTTTTTACCACAAAAAGAAGTATTTTAAAAAGGTGGATATTTTAATTAGCTTGATGTAATTATTCCATATTATATTTATAAATCATAAAATTCTTTTTTACCCCAGAAAAAATACAACTATATTCTGTCAATTTACAAGTTAAAAAATAAAAATTAAAAAAATACACAAGAATAAACAATCTCTCAAAAAGAAAAATTACAATAACTGAAATTATAAAAATACATTAGAATGGCTCAATAATAGATAAGAACTAGCAAAAGTAAAAATTAGCAAACCTGAAGATAGAATGATAAAGGTTATGTGAGTTGAGAACAAGGAGAAAAAATAATGAAGGAAATAAAGACAGCCTCAGAGAAATATGGGAAATATGGACAACGTTAAGCACACCAACATACACATAATATGAATATCAGAGGAATGGAAAGAAAAAAAAGTTATTCAAAGATAGGCTAGCTGAAAAGTTCCCCAATTTATTGAAAAAACAATAAATTTACATATTTAATAAATAATATAAATAATATAAACAAATTTAGATATTTCAACAAACTCCAAGTAGGATAAGCACACAGAGTCCCACAGACACACCATAGTAAAAATACTCAAAGTTTTACAGATAGCAATCTGAAACAACAAGAGAAAATGTTTCTCACAAGAGATCTCCAGTAAAACTAATGGCTGTCTTCTCAGTAAAAACAGAGGATGCCCAAAGAAAATCAGATAACCTATTCAAAATTCTCAAAGAAAAAATATCAGTGAAGAACCCTATATCAAGCAAAGTATTGTTCAAAAATAAAGGTATGATAAAGGTGTTCCCAAATGAATAAAACTGACAGAATATGTTGCTAATAGACATATCTTACAAGAAGTAGTAAAGGAAGTTCTTCAGGCTGAAAGCAAGTAACTACAAATGGTCACTTGAATTCATATAAACAGCAAAAGCATTGATAAAGGTACTTACATAACTATAATATATACTATTAATACAGATCCTTTTCTTTCTTTTATTAACTAACAGAATTAGCAATTGAATAGAATCATGTTTATAATGGATTTTTAGGCTCATAACACATACAAATGTAATGTATATGTAATATGTTTGTGAATAATGGCACAAAGAAGGTGGGCTGGAGCAAAGCCATAATGGGCTAACGTAATAACGACAGATTATAATATAATAATTATGAAAATGTATTGTTTGGTTTGTAAAATTAATAGATGTAGTAAGTAGAACAATAATACCCCAAAAGGAGGGTAAAAAGAAATGGAGCTACATAGAAATAATGTTTCTATATATTACTGGAATTAGGATAGCATGAATCTGAAGCTAATTTTGATAAGTGTATATGGTAAACCCTAGAGAACCTACTCTCAAAATAACTTAAAAATACTGTGAAAAATTTACTAATAAAATAAAATTTTATGTTATAAAACATTTACTCAATCAAAAAGAAAGCAGCAAATGAAGAAAAGAAGAAAAACAGACATAGACATATGGAAAACAGAAAAGAAAAATGGGGGATGCAAATTTAACCACATCAATAGTAGCATTAAATGTGAATAAACAAGCAAAAAAAAAAAACCCACAGATTGTCAGGTTGGTTAAAAACAGGACATAACTAAATGTTGTCTACAGGAGACAAACTTTAGATTCAAAGACAAATTTAGATTTAGACAAACTTTAGATTCAAATTTAGACAAATTTAGACAAACTTTAGATTCAAATAAAATAGGTTGAAAATAAAAGAATGAAAAAAGATATTCCAGGCAATAGTAATCACAGATCACAGTAAATGTAGATTAGCTATACTAACATCCAATAAAGTAAATTTGGACAAAAAATGTTTACTAGAGATAAAGAGAGAGATTTTATAACAATTAAAAGTTTAATTCATTAGGAAAATATAATAACTATAAATATGTATGCAATCAATAATGTAACACCAAAATATATGCAACAAAGAAGACAGAAATGAAGGAAGAAACAGACAATTCAACAATAATAGGCTGATGCATCAGTATTCTACTTTCAATGACAAAGTAACAACTAGACAGGAGATTAACAACAAAATAGACTTAAGCCACACTATAAACTATCTAGACCTACTAGACATCAAAAGAACACTCCATCCTAAATAAACAACAGAATATAAATTCTTCCCCCACACACACAGAGAACATTCTTTATAATAGATCATATGCTATGACATAAAACAAATCTTAATAAATGTAAAGAATTGAAATAGTTAAAATATGTACTTCAGCTACCGTAGCATGAAGTTAGAAATCAATAGCAAGACAAATTTGGGAAGTTTACAAATATGTGGGAATTAAACAAAACACTCCTGGATAACTAACAGATCAAAAAACAAAATCAAGGCTGGGTGCGGTGGCTCATGCCTGTAATCCCAGCACTTTTGGAGGCCGAGGAGGGAGGATCATGAAGTCAGGAGTTTGAGACCAGCCTGATCAACATAGTGAAACCCTGTCTGTACTAAAAATACAAAAAATTAGCCAGGCATGTTGGCAGGCACCTGTAATCCCAGCTACTTAGGAGGCTGAGGCAGGAAAATCGCTTGAACCTTGGAGGCGTTGGTTGCAGTGAGCTGAGATCACATCATTGCACTCCACCCTGGGCGACAACGCGAGACTCCATCTCAAAAAAATAAATAAATAAAATAAATAAAATAAAATAAAATAAACTATAAAAAGGAAAATAAAAAAAAATTTTGAAAGAGTAAAAAGACATGACATCAGAATTTATGGGATATTGCTAAAGCAGTGCTGAGGGTTAAGTGTATAGCTTCAATAGCCTTAAAAAGTTAAAAAGAGCTGAAAAAGAAAAAAAATCTGAAATCAATAAGCTAACTTTCCACCTTAGACAGTAGTAAAACATGGCAAACTAAACCTTAAGCAGAAAGAATGAAGAAAATTAATAAACATTAGAGTGGATATTAATGAACTAGGGAATAAAAAAAGAATAGATAAAATATATAAAACCAAAAGGTGGTTTTTGGAAAAGGTTGACCAAATTAACAAGGCTTTACCTATGTGACCAAGGAAAACAAGATAGAAGATGCAAATTAATACAATAAGAAAATGAAAGAGGAGACAGTACTCCAGACTTTATAGAAATAGAAAGGATTATAAACACTATGAACAACTGTATACCAACACATTAGATAACTTAGATGAAATAGATACATTCCTAAAAGACACACTCTACCCAAATTGATTCAAGTAGACAGACAATCTGAATAAACCTATAACAAAAGAAGAAATTGAATCAGTGATCCAATGACTATGAATAAAATTTCAAACACAAAAGCCTTCATTGCTTAATTCTACCAAACATTCGAAAAGAAAGTAATACCAATTCTTTACCAACTTTTCCAGAAATATTGAAGAAGGCACTTCTCAATTCATTCTATAAGGCCAATATTAATCTGATACCAAAACCAGACAGAGGCATCATATGTGTCATATAAGAAAAGCAAACTACAGGCCAATATTTCTTATAAATATATATGCAGAATTCCTCAAAACAAACACAAAGCACTACCAAACCAAATCCAGTAACATACAAAAAGAACAATATAACATAGACAAGTAGGACTTAACCCAGGGATGCAAGCTTGGTGTAACATCTGAAAATTAATTAATGTAATACATCTTATCAACAGACTAACAAGCCAAAATTGCATGATAGTATCAATAGGTAAAGAAAAAAAGTCTCATAAACTCCAACACCCTTACTTTTTCATGATAAAACCACAAAAAAACTAGGAATACAACTTGTTTTAGTCAGTGCTCTCCACAGAAACAGAATAGAAAATATAAATTAATTAGTTTTTATTTAATTTCTTTATATATACAGATTATAAACCATATTCATGTAAATATAAGTCAAGACCATAAGAAATCTGTTTTTTTTTCAAAAAATAATGCTAGGAAAACTGGATGCTCACATGCAAAAAAAATTAATATAAACCCATAACTTATGCCACATACAAAAATTAACTCAAGATAATTTAAATATCCAAATATCAGAGCTAAAACTATTTTTAAAAAGCATATGGGTAAACCTCCATAACCTTGTATTTGGCAAAGAATTATTCAATGTAATCCAATATGCCCAAACAATAAAATAAAAAATAGCCTAATTGGATTTTTTTAAAAATTAAAAACTTCTGTGCTGCAAAGCACATCATCAAGACAGTGAAAAGAGAGATGGGCACTGTCTCTCATGCTTGAAATCCAAGTGACTCAGATGACTGAGGTGGGAGGCTTGGTTGAGGCCAGGAGTTTAAGGCTGCAGTGAGCCATGATCCAGCCACTGCATACCAGCCTGGGTGACAGAGGAAGACCCTGTCTCTGAACAGAAAACAAAACAAAACAAGAATAATGTGAAGACAACTCACAGAATGAAATGTCTTTGCAGTTATGTATCTGGTGAAGGACTTGTTTCTAGAATACATAAAGAACACTTACAACTCAATGATAAAAATACAAATAAACTAATTTAAAAATACACAAAAGCTTTTAATATATTTTTTCCAAAGAAAATATACAAATGACCAAGATAACTGAAAATATATGTCCACACAAAAACTTGTCCACAAATGTTGATAGTAATATAATTCATGATAGCCTAAAAGTGGAAAAAATTCAATTGTTCATCCCTGGAAAAATGGATAAACAAACCATGGTATATATATCTATACAATGGAATATTGTTTGGTCATAAAAATGAAATACTGATACATGCTATAACATGAATGCATTTTTAAAGCATCATGCTAAGTGAAAGTATACAGTTACAAAATTTCACATATATGATTTTATTAATTTGAAAGTTTACAATAGAGAAATTTATAGAGATAGAAAGTAGATTAATTTCTTAGAGCTGAATAGGAGATCTAAGGGTTAGGGGAAATAGTTTAAAAATATAAGCTTTTTCTGGAGATGATGAAAGTGTTTTAAAATTGTGGCAGTAGTCACATATATCTGTCAATATACAAAAAACACTGAACTATGCATTTTAAGGGGGAAAATTTTATGTTATATAAAGTATAGCTCGATATATCTGTTTCAAAAGTACATTCATGGGAGGAAGGGTGGAGCAAGATGGAGGAATAGAAGGCTCCCCACTGATTGTTCCACTGGCAAGCACACCAATTTAACAACTGTCCACACCAAAAAGTACCTCATTTGAACCAAAAACCAGGTAAATACTCACGGTACCTGGTTTTAATTTTATATCACTGAAATGGGCAGTGATAGGTAGAAAAATAAACAGTCTTAAATTGCCAATGCTAACCCTTCCTCATACCCCAACAGCATGGTGCAGACAGTGTGCTGGGGAGAGGGAGAGCACAGTAAATGTGAGGCAGTGAACTCAGGACTGCCCTGTTATAGAAGAAAACAAAACTAAACCAAACTTAGCTGATGCCTGCCCATGGAGGCAGAATTTGAATCATCCCTAGCCAGAGGGGAATAGTCATCATAGTGGTCCACACCAAGCCTCCCCACTATTTTCTAAAGTGCTCTGGGACTCTAAATTAATTTGGAAGACAGTCTAGGCCAAAAGACTGCAACTCTTAGGCAAGTCCTAGTGCTAAACTGGGCCGAGAGCCATTAAACTGGGAAGGCAAACAGCTTACTGAGCCACTAGCTGGAGCAGCTAAGATAATGCTGGCATCACCCTTTCACAGCCCCAGGCTTCACAACAGGTAGCTCCTCTCAAGGAGATGACAGGAAAGAATGGGGAGGACTTTGTCTTGCATCTTGGATACCAGCTCAGCCACAGCAAGATAGGGCACCAGTCAAAGTCATGAGTCACCCTGTCCAAGCCCTGGCTCCTGGGCAACATTTTGGGACATGTTCTTGACCAGAAGAGAAGCTGCTGCCTTGAAGAAAAAAACCCAGTTCTGGCAGGATTCATCACCAGCTAACTGAAGAGCCCTTGAGCCCTGAATCACTAGCAGCAATAACCACCTAATACCTCAAGGGCCTTAGGTGAGACTCTAAGAGACTTGCTGGCTTGACATAAGACTCAGCAAATTCCCAGCTGTGGTGTCAATGAGGCAAGACTTCTTCCACTTGAGAAAAATGAAGGAAAAAGTAAAGAGTACTCTGTCTTGTACCTTAGATACCAGCTTGGACATAGGGTTGTAAAACATTAAGTGGGCTCTTGGGATCCCCAATTCCAGGACTTGGTTCTTTGATGGCATTTCTGGACCTGCTCTGAGCCAGACAGGAGCCCACAAACCTGAAAGTTGAGACCCAGCCAGGCAGTATTCACCACAAGCTCACTGAAGAGCCATTGAGTCTTAATGAAATATTGACGGGAGACTGGTAGTACTTCTCAAGGGCCTGTGGTGGTGGTGGCCACAAGATGAGTCTCCTCTGCCTTCAAAAAAGGAGGGAAGGATGAGAAGGATTGCACCTTGCAGTGTGAGTGCCAGCTCAACTGCAGTACAATAGAACACCAGGTAGAGTATTTAGGTTTTTGACTTTAGTCTCTGGCTCCCAGATGGCACCTCTGGATATGGCCAGACTCTGGGTACACATTGCCCTGAAAAGAAGGACACAGGCCTGGCTGGCTTCACCATCTACTGATTGCAGAGCCCTAGGGCCTACAGCAAACATAGGTGACAGCCAGGGAGTTGTTAAAGCAGGTTTTGGGTAAAACACTGTGCTGTGCAGACTTCAGGTCTGACTTAGCACGATATGAGTTGTGGTGTCCGTAGGAATGCTTGTGTCACTCCACCACAGCTCTAGTGGCTAAGAAAGAGAGAAACTCTGCCAGGCATGGTGGCTTATGCCTGTAATCCCAGCACTTTGGGAGGCTGAGGAGGGTGGATCACCTGAGGCTGGGAGTTCAAGACCAGCCTGACCAACATGGAGAAGCCCCATCTCTACTAAATATACAAAATTAACCAAATGTGGTGGCACATGCCTGTAATCCCAGCTACTTGGGAGGCTGAGGCAGGAGAATTGCTTGAACCCAGGAGGCAGAGGTTGCGGTGAGCTGAGATCATGCCGTTGCACTCCAGCCTGGGCAAAAAGAGCAACACTCCATCTCAAAAAAAAAAAAAAAAATGAAAGAGAGAGACATTCCATTTGTTTGAGGAAAAAAAAATAAGAATAAGAAAAGAGGACAAGAGTCTCTGCCTGGCAATCTAGAGTATTCTGAATCTTTTCCAAGACCATCAAGAATGTGCCTCTATGAATCTGCAAGAACCACAGAATTACTGGGCTTGGGTGCCCCTTAAAGCAGATATAGCTTAAATCACAACACCCAAATCATGTCAAATATCTGGAAAGACTTCCCAAGAAGGACAGGTACAAATAAGCCCAAACTGAGAGGACAACAATAAATACCTCACTCCTCACTTCACAGGCACACATGTATATCAACAAGTGTAAAGGCCATTCAGGAAAACATGACCTCAGCAAATGAACTAAATTAGGTACCAGGGACCAATCCTGAAGAAACAGAGATATGTGACCTTTCAGATAGAGAATTCAGAAGTCACTGTTTTGAGGAAAATCAAAGAACTGCAAGATAACACAGAGAAGAAAGCATTTTATCAGACAAATTTAACAAAGACATTGAAATAAATGAAAAGAATCAAGCAGATACTCAAGCTGAAAAATGCAATTGACATACTGAAGAATGCATCAGTCTTTTAACAACAGAATTCATCAAGCAGAAGAAAGAATTAGTGAGCGTGAAGACAGGCTACTTGAAAATACACAGTCAGAGAAGAAAAACTGAGAAGAATAAAATCAATACAGCACACCTACAGGATCTAGAAAATAGCCTCAAAAGGGCAAATCTAAGAGTTATTAGCCTTATCAAGGAGGTAGAGAAAGAGATAGGGGTGGAAGTTTTATTCAAAGGGATAATAACAGAGAATTTTCCATGCCTGGAGAAAGTTATCAATATACAAGTACAAAAAGGTTAGGGTAACCTCAACCCAAAGGCTCATGGTAACCTCAAACCAAAAAACATACAACAAATACACAAACAATAAAAATCAAGAAACTAAATCACATCACCATAGAAAGTCACCTCCACTAAAAGGAAGGCAAGAAGGAAAGAAGGAAGAAGAGAGCAAAAAAAAAAAAAAAAAGAAAAGAAAACAAATAACAACATGGCAGAAGTAAGCCCTTACTTAACAATATAACATTGAATGTAAATTGATTAAATTTTTCAATAAAAAGGCATAGAGTGGCTGACTGGATTTTATAAAAATGACCCAATGAACTGTTGCCTGTAAGAAACACACTTTAGGCCAGCATGGTGGCTGATGCCTGTAATCCCAGTTCTTTGGGAGGCTGAGGTGGGTGGATCTCCTGAGGTCAGGAGTTCAAGACCAACTATGGCCAACATGGTGAAACCCCATCTATACTAAAAATACAAAATAAGCTGGGTGTGGTGGCGTGTGCCTGTAATCCCAGCTACTCAGGAGGCTGAGGCAGAAGAATCACTTGAACCCGGAGGTGGAAGTTGGAGTGAGCAGGGATCACGCTACTTCACTCCAGCCTGGGTGACAGAGCAAAAGTCTGTCTCAAAAAACAAACAAACAAACAAACAAAAAAGCACACTTTACCTATAAAGACACACATAGACTAAAAACAAAAGGATGGAAAAGATATTCTATGCCAATGAAAAACAAAGAACAGCGGGAGTAGCTATACTTATATTAGACAAAATTGATTTCAAGACAAAAACTATAAGAAGAGATGAGGAAGGTCACTATATAACAATAAAGGGGTTAATTCAGCAAAAGAGTTTAACAATTTTACGTGTAATTGCACCCAACACTAGATCACCCAGATATATAAGCAAATATTGTTAGAGCTAAAGAGAGAGATCAGCCTCCATATAATAATAGCTAGAGACTTCAATATCTCACTTTCAGCATTGGATAGATCTTGCAGACATAAAACCAACAAAGAATATTGGACTTACTCTGCACTATAGGCCAAATGGACCTAATATATATTTACAGAACACTTCATCTAACGGTGGAAGAACACATACTCTTTTCCTCAGCACATGGATCATTCTCAAAGATAGACCACATTTTAGTTAACAAAATGCCTTAAAACTTTCAAAAAAATTGAAATAATATCAAGCATCTTCTCTCACCACAATGGCATAAAACTATAAAACAATATCAAGAGGAATTTGGGAAACTACACAAACACATGAAAACAAAGCAAGATACTCTTTAATGACCAGTAGGTTAATGACAAAATTAAGAAAGAAATTGAAAAGTTTCTTGAAACAAAAGTTGGAAGACAACATACCAAAATCTATGGGATACAGTGAAAGCAGTACTAATAGGGAAGTTAATAGCTGTAAGAACCTATGTCAAAAAAGAAGAAAAGCTTCAAATAAACAACCTAGTGTTCCATCTTAATGAACTAGTGAAGTAAGAGCAAACTAAACCCCCTATTAATAGAAGAAAAGAAATAATACAGATCAGAGAAGAAATAAATACATTTGAAATAAAGAAAGCAATAGAAAAGATTAATGAAATGAAAAGTTGGATTTTTGAAAAGATTAAAAAAAACTGAGAAAACTTTAGCCAGACTAATTAAGAAAAACAGAGAGAAAACCCAAATAAATAAAAATTACAGATGAAAAAGGAGACATTACAACTAGTAATTACAATTAATATTACAAGTAATAGTGAAGAAATTTAAAAAATCATTAGTTGCTACTATGAGAAACTTTATGCCAATAAATTGGAAACTCTAGAAGAAATGGACAAATTCCTAGGTACATATAACCTGCCAAGACTGAACAATACAGGAATTTAAAACCTCAACAGACCAACAACACATAACAAGATTGAAGCCATAATAAAACGTCTCCCAGTAAAATAAAGTCTGGGGCCTAATGGCTTCACTGCTGACTTCTAAGAAACATTTAAGGAGAAACAAATAGCAATCCTATTCAGATTGTTTCAAAAAGCAGAGGAAGAGGGAATGCCTCCAAAATCATTCTACAAGGCTAGTATTATCCTATACTAAAACCAGACAAAGACACATCAAAAGAAGAAGAGGAAGATGAATAAGAAGAAGAAGAAGAAGAGGAAGAAGAAGAAGAGTAGTAGTAAAAGAAAGAAGAAAGAAAAAAGAAAGAGAAAGAGAAAGAAAAAGACAGAAGGAAAAAGAAAGAGAGAAAGAAAGAGAAAGAAAGAAAGAAGGAAAGAAAGAGAAAGAAAAAAAGAAAGACTACAAGCCAATATTTCTGATGGATTTTGATGTAAAATCATCAATGAAATACTAGCAAACCAAATTCAACAATATATTAAGAAGATTACTCATCATGAACAAGTGGGATTTCTCTCTGGGATGCAAAGATGGTTCAACATAGGGAAATCAATCATTGTGATACATCGTAGCAACAGAATGAAGGACAAAAAACATGATAATTTCAATTGATGCTAAAAAGGCATTTGATTAAATTCAATATCACTTTATAATAAGAATCCTCAAAAAACTGGGTATGGAAGAAACATACCTCAGCATAACAACATCCAGATATGACAGACCAAAAGCTGGTTTCATGCTGAATGAGGAAAAATGGAAAGCCTTTCCTCTAAGATCTGGAACACAACAAGGATGCCTAATATTACCACTGTTACTCAACAGAATGTGGAAGTCCTAGCTAGAGCAATCAAATAAGAGAAATAAATAAATTGCATCCGAATTAGAAAGGAAGAATTAAAATTCTCCTTGTTGGCAAGTGATATGATCTTACATTTGTAAAAACTAAAGACTCCATCAAAAAACTATTAAAACTGATAAATAAATTCAGTAAAGTAGCAAAATACAAAATCAACATACAGGAAACAGTAGTATTTCTATATGTCAACAGTGAACAATCTGAAAAAGAAATAAAAAATTAATTTCATTTGTGGTAGCCACAAATAAAATTAAATATTATGGAATTAACTTAATTCCAAGATAAGTTGAAAATTCTCTATAATTAAAACTATAAAACAGTGATCAACAAAACTGAAGAGGACTCAAAGAAATGGAAATATATTATTCCATGTTTATGGTTTGGAAGAATCAATCTTGTTAAAATGTCCATACTACCCAAAGCAAGCTACAGACTCAATGCAATCCCTATCAATATATCAATGATAATTTTCACAGAAATAGAAAAAAATGATCCCAATATTTATATGGAACCACAAAAGACCCAAAATAGCTAAAACTCTCCTAAGCCAAAAGAGTAAAACTGGAGGAATCTCACTACCTGACTTCATATATACTACAGAGCTATAGTGACCCAAACAGCATAGTATTGGCATAGAAACAGACACATAGACCAATGGAACAGCAGACAGAACCTAGAAACAAATCCACACACCTACAGTGAACTGATTTTTTAACAAAGGTACCAAAAGCATACACTGAGGAAAAGAGAATCTTTTCAATAAACGGTACTAAGAAAACTGGATATCCATATGCAGAAGAATGAAACTAGATCCCTATCTCTTGCCATGTAAAAAAATAAAATCTAAATGGATTAACGACTTAAATCTAAGACTTCAAACTATGAAATTACTACAACAAAACATTGGGAAAAATTCCCAGGACATTGGTCACGGCAAAAATGTCTTGAGTGTATAAGTAAATGTGGTACTTACACACAATGGAGTCCTTATTTTTCAGCCATAAAAACAAATGAAATCCTGTCATTTGCGACATGGGTGGAACTGAAGATCATTATGCTAAGTGAAATAACCCAGGCACAGAAAGACAAGCAAAGGCAACAAAAGGAAAAATGAATAGGATCACATTGATGCGGGATTTTTTGTCCCTTAGTTCAGCCAAAATCCAGGTTCTTGTCACATGACCAGAAAAAATTAGGCATGCGGACACATGGAAATGTGAGGAGAGCAGAATTTATTAAAAGAAAACTGTCAGCAAAAAAAAGGGGGGATTGGTCAAAAAGCTCCTACCTCACAGACTGAGTACCAGGCCACCACACACACCAGCTGAAGAGGTCAGGCTCCTTCCTACCTGCATAAGGCGTGTATTTCTGGTAGCTCCAGGGCATTCTCCCAGTGCACAGGCAGGCCCCCAGTCTATTGTGGGCATGTCCAGACAAGACCCTGGGCAGGTTCCCTCATTTGCACAAAATCAACTGATACAAACACTTGTGGGGTGGATCGGAGATTCTCTGGGGATCCTCCCTTATCTGCCTCCTGCGTCTATCAGCATCAAGTTAAAAAGCTTCTGCACAAGCAAAGAAAACAATCAACAAAGACACAACCCACAAAATGGGAGAAAATATTTGAAAACTACCCATCTGACAAGGAATTAATAACCACGATATATACAAAGCTAAACAACTGTATGGAAAAAAATCTAATAATCTGATTAAAAATGGACACATGATTTGAATAGACATTTTTCAAAAGAACACATACTATTGGCAAACAGGCATATGAGAAGGTGCTCGATCTCATTGATCATCAGAGGAATGCAAATCAAAACTACAATGCAATATTATCTCGCCCAGTTAAAATGGCTTATATCCAAAAGATAAGCAATAACAAATGCTGGCGAGGATGTGGCAAAAAGGGAACCCTCTTACACTGTTGATAGGAGTGTAAATTAGTACTACCAACATGAAGAACAGTTTGGAGATTCCTTGAAAAACTAAAAATAGGACTGCTAAATGATTCAGCAATCCCACTGCTGGGTATATACCCAAAATAAAGGAAATCTGTATATCGAAGAGACAGCTGCACTGCTGTTTGTTGCAGCACTTTTTGCAATAGCAAAATGTGGACACAATCTAAGTGACCATAACAGAAGAATGGATAAAGAAAATATGGTGCTTATACACAATAGAGTACTATTCAGCCATAAAAACAAATGAAATCCTGTCATTTGCAACATGTATGGAACTGAAGGTCACTATGCTAAGTGAAATAAGCCAGGCACAGAAAGTCAACCGTCACACGCTCTCACTTATTTGTGGGATCTAAAAAGTCAATATAACTGAACTCATGGAGATAGGAGTAGAAGTATAGTTACCAGAAGCTGGGAAGGGTAGTGTGGGCTGGAGGTTGGAGGAGTGGTGTGGTGGTGGTAGGAATGGTTAATGCTTTAAAAAAAGAATAGAAGAATGAATAAGACCTAATATTTGTTAGTACAACAGGGTGACTATACTCAATAATAATTTAATTGTACATTTTAAAATAACTAAAAGAGTATAACTGGATTATCTGTAACACAAAGGATAAATTCTTGAGTGGTGGATACCCCATGTTCAATGTTCACATGACATAATTATTATGCATTGCATGCCTGTATTAAACAACTCATGTATCCCATAAACAGATACGCCTGCTATGTATCCACAAAAATTGAAATAAAAAATTAAAATGACATATATAGAAACAAAAAATAATAAATTAGAGAACACTGTTTACAATAGCAACAAATGTGTTCCATTTTCAACATATGCAAATCAATCATTATGATACATCATATTAACAGAATGAAGGAAAAAAACCATATGATCACTTCAATTGATGCTGAAAAAGCATTTGATTAAATTCAACATCACTTTGTAAGAAAAATCCTCAAAAAACTGGGTATGGAAGGAACGTACCATAAAATATTAAATACTTAGCAATTATCTCAAGAAAATTTTTTATAAACTTATCATAACATTTTGAAAATTTTTTTTAAACATACAGCTAGGCTTCAACAAATGAAAGATAACCCCTGTTCTTGGATAGGATAATTCAATATTATTAAGATATAACTGCTCCCTAAATTAATTAATAAATATTATACAATATCATTCAAAATATCAAAATGATTTATTATGAAATTAGACAAGTTGATGCCATAATTCACATAGAAAAAAATCTAAGTATATCCAATAAAACCCTTAAAAATAAATGGGGGCAGACTAATTTTGCAAGATATTAAAATATACTCTAAATCCTCTGTAATTAAAAACCTGTGAAGCCGGGTGTGGTGGCTGACGCCTGTAATCCCAGCACTTTGGGAGGCCGAGACAGGTGAATCATGAGGTCAGGAGATGGAGACCAGCCTGACCAACATGGTAAAACCCCAATCTCTACTAAAAATACAAAAGTTTGCCAGGTGTGGTGGCACGTGCCTGTAATCCCAGCTACTCAGGAAGCTGAGGCAGGAGAATCACTTGAACCCGGGAGTCTGAGATTGCAGTGAGCCGAGATTGTACCAATACCCTCCAGCCTGGGCAATAGAGCGAGAGTCCGTCTCAAAAAAAAAAAAAAAAAAGTGTAATACTTGTTCATGAATAAAAGATATATTATTGAAATAGAACAGAAAAAAAAACCAGAAACACAACTGTGTGCATTTGAAATTTAGTGTATGAATAGAGTGGCATCATAAATCACTGTAGCAAAGATAGACTATTTTAGTTAATAAAAATACAAGGACAGGAGTGTATACATTTGGAAATAAAAAAGATAAAATTAGATTTATACCTTATACCCTTTTCAAAAATAAATTTCAGAAGATGGCCGAATAGGAAGAGCTCCTGTCTACAGCTTCCAGCGTGAGCGACCCAGAAGACGGGTGATTTCTGCATTTCCATCTGAGGTAGCGGGTTCATCTCACTAGGGAGTGCCGGACAGTGGGCGCAGGTCAGTGGGTGCGCGCACCGTGTGTGAGCCGAAGCAGGGCGAGGCATTGCCTCACTTGGGAAGCGCACGGGGTCAGGGAGTTCCCTTTCTGAGTCAAAGAAAGGGGTGACGGACGGCACCTGGAAAATCGGGTCACTCCCACCCGAATACTGCGCTTTTCCGACGGGCTTAAAAAAAAGCCAAAATTGACAAATGGGATCTAATTAAACTAAAGAGCTTCTGCACAGCAAAATAAACTACCATCAGAGTGAACAGGCAACCTACAAAAGGGGAGAAAATTTTCGCAACCTACTCATCTGACAAAGGGCTAATATCCAGAATCTACAATGAACTCAAACAAATTTACAAGAAAAAAACAAACAACCCCATCAAAAAGTGGGCGAAGGACATGAACAAACACTTCTCAAAAGAAGACATTTATGCAGCCAAAAAACACATGAAAAATGCTCATCATCACTGGCCATCAGAGAAATGCAAATCAAAACCACAATGAGATACCATCTCACACCAGTTAGAATGGCAATCATTAAAAAGTCAGGAAACAACAGGTGCTGGAGAGGATGTGGAGAAATAGGAACACTTTTACACTGTTGGTGGGACTGTAAACTAGTTCAACCATTGTGGAAGTCAGTGTGGCGATTCCTCAGGGATCTAGAACTGGAAATACCATTTGACCCAGCCATCCCATTACTGGGTATATACTCAAAGGACTATATATCATGCTGCTATAAAGACACATGCACACGTATGTTTATTGTGGCATTATTCACAATAGCAAAGACTTGGAACCAACCCAAATGTCCAACAATGATAGACTGGATTAAGAAAGTGTGGCACATATACACCATGGAATACTATGCAGCCATAAAAAATGATGAGTTCATGTCCTTTGTAGGGACATGGATGAAACTGGAAACCATCATTCTCAGTAAACTATCACAAGAACAAAAAACCAAACACCACATATTCTCACTCATAGGTGGGAATTGAACAATGAGCTCACATGGACACAGGAAGGGGAATATCACACTCTGGGGACTATTGTGGGGTGGGGGGAGAGGGGAGGGATAGCATTGGGAGATATACCTAATGCTAGATGATGAGTTAGTGGGTGCAGCGCACCAGCATGGCACATGTATACATATGTAACTAACCTGCACAATGTGCACATGTACCCTAAAACTTAAAGTATAATAAAAAATAAATAAATAAATAAATAAATAAAATAAAATAAATTTCAACTGAATCAATGATCTAAATGTAAAACATCCAATTCTACAAGTATTAGAAGTATACCTGTCTTAATTACTTTCTAAACTTAATATAGGGAAGGGCTCTCTAAATGTGGCTCAAAATCTGGGGCAATTTTTCAAAAAAACTGCTGATTTTATATTCATAAAATTTCTAAAAATTCATGGCAAAAGCACTTTATGAAAAAAGTAAAACAAAGTAAAAGACAGTCGACAAACTGGGATAAAATATTCTACAGACAAAGGACTAATATCTTCAATATGTTAAAAAATACTTTTTAAATTGAGAAAAAGGGATTCAAATACTCAATAGAAAAAGAGAGAAAAACGATAAAAATTGCCTCAGAAGAGTATTAAAATGACTACCAAAACATATGAAAAATTTTCCAACTCTTACAGTGAGATAAATGCAAACTAAAATTCTGTATCAGATTGACATTTAATAAATGTATGTCATCATATTCTGCTGCCAAAGCTAGAGCAAGCAAATCCTTTCATAGAATCCTGGTGGGAATTTAAACTTGTACAATCCTTCTGGAAGGAAATTTGGAAAAACCTAACCAAACTACATATACTACTTTATTTTGGTCCTCCAATTCCACTTACAAGAACCTTCTCTGGTGCTAGACTTCCAATAGTATGAACTATATAAGCACAATGCTCATAGCAGCACTGGTTTGTAATTGCAAAACAATGGGAGTAAACTAAATGTCCACAGATAAGACAGCAATTTAATAAAATATGGTTAGTTTATACATTGAAGTACTAAGCAGTTGTAAAAAAAATGAGAGAACTCTTTGAACTAATATTAAGGATCATATTAAAAGTTGTATTTTAGTATTAACTTATACTAAGGATGGCTACTGACTGGAAGCAATCCTTAGGTTCTAGAGACTACTGGATATCACTGTGTATTCGCTGAGAAAAGTTGAGAGCCTGAGTCATACATGCAAATAAAGTGTAAGTGAAGTCTTCCAACAACTGGAATGAGCTTGCAAGTGGATTATTCTGCAATCAAGCCCACAGATGAGATGTGGCCTGCACCTTGACTAAAGCTTTATGCAACCTTGAGCAGAGGAGCCAGATAAGCAGAGAAAAGTCTCCCGATCTCTCACAACTGTGAGATATAATGGGTGTTGTTTTAAGTCTCTATACTTGGGGTAATTTGTTTCATAGCCATAAAAAACCAATACAGTGATATAACGAAAAAGTTGCAACTTTACACAGGATGTCACCTGAAACAAGTGATCAACGCTTATACCACCAGTTATGAGATGTGGATATCATGTACACTCTGTTCTACTGGGAAGGAAACATCATCACTTTTGTTGTAATATTGCCAACTGAATAGCTTTAATGTAATTACAGGTAAACTACAGATAAATATAAATTGAGAGACAGTTTACAAAGTAACTCTTCAAAATTATTAAGGTTCTGGAAGACAAAAACAGACTGAGGAAGTGCTGGAGTCTGTTGGAGTTTGAAAAACACCTAACACTAAATGTAAAGTGCTATACCAGCTTGGATACCAGAAAGGAAAAGATTATTAGTAGGAAAATCAGCAAAATTTGAATAAACTCTATGATTAATTAATAGCATTATTTCAATGTTGTGATAAGTTTATGGTATTGATAAGTATACTATAGCTATGTCAGATATTAACATTAGTGTATAAAGAATAATGGGAATTCTTTTTAACATGTTTACATCTTTCATGTAAAATTATTTGAAAATAAAAAATTAAAGAAAAACAAGACAGTGCATGTCATAATCTTAATAAAACCAAGGAACCAGAATTAGTAGAAGCACACAAGGAGAATTTAAAACAGGGATGACTGATATAGAAAAAAGAAAGGAAGTCATAACCATAAAAAGAACTAGATATAGAAAAAGAAATAATATATATATAACTTTATAAATTAAAATGATTATTACATAGTTTAAAGCCATCATATTAGAAAAATATTATAATGAATTTAATTGAAGAGGAAGTTATAGAGTGTGTCAAATGGAAGGGGGACAATAATTGCATGTTTCAAAATAGCTAAAGAGAACATTTGGAAAGTTCCCAAAACAAAGAAATGATGAATGTCTGAGATGATGGCTATACTAATTACACTGATTTGATCATTATACATTGTACGCATGTATCAAAATATTACATGTACCTGATAAATATCTACAAAGATTATGTATCAATTAAAAATAAAAAATTATAGAAATGGAGAGACATGAAGCACACAGAAGAACCAATATCTTTCTGAGTTTGAAGTAAAAAAAAACACTGAAAAAAGCTCAGTGACATTTTAGAATTCCAAAGGTAAAGACAAATTCCTAATATCTCCAAAAGAGAAAAAAAGATTACTATTTAGAAAGAAATTAAAAGTTAAAATCACATTGGCATTAGACCTCTTATAAGACATGTTTAGGAAATTAGAAAAAATTATAGAAGACACTGGAAGAAACATTCAACGTTCCAAAGTAAAATCACTTTAGATCTATCATTGTACACATTTAAGCCAACATTGAAATAAAGATAATTTGAGGATATTTAAGAACTATTTTTGTATCTAGAGGTCGTCTGTGTTATGTTTAGCAAAAAAGAAAATATTGCAAAATAGAAAATGTGTTTGGAAATACAAATAGATGAGACGTAAAATCAGTAGTGGAAAAAAAACAACAGCATTGATTTTAGTTGGCTCAATAATTTTTGACAAAGAACCTAGAAAGTAAGGGTAATTACTTCACCATGAAAGAGTGGGCATACACAAAGCAAAAATTACAATGTTAGAAATACATTAAAATACATAATTAATCATGATAACATCCAAATAAACAGATTTAGTTCAATACACACAAGATTTACAAAAGCAATGTAATATCCTCATGAGAATATGAAAATATATTAATTATCTGTCGAGAAATGTGCAGGAGAAGGAAAATTAAAATGTGGTAAAGTTGTTTGCTTTTTTATTTTACTTTATTTTATTTTATTTTTTTGAGACAGAGTCTCGCTCTGTCACCCAGGCTGGAACGCATTGGCAGGATCTCGGCTCACTGCAAGCTCCATCTCCTGGATTCATGGCATTCTCCTGCCTCAGCCCCTCGAGTAGCTGGGACTACAGGCACCCACCACCACACCCGACTAATTTTTTGTATTTTTAGTAGAGACAGGGTTTCACCATGTTAGCCAGGATGGTCTGGATCTCCTGACCTCGTGATCCTCCCGCTTTGGCCTCCCAAAGTGCTGGGATTACAGGTGTGAGCCACTGACTGCCTCTACATACTGAGAAACTGTAAACATGAATCCATGTGTGTTAAAGTTAACGTTACCAGGATAATAGAAATGCTTGTGATATATTACTGCAAATATTTATATTTTTACTACATACAAAATTTTGCAAACAGTAGTTGAACAATCCAGAAAAGGCAGGATGATGTTATAACGTCAAATATTCACTCAGCCTTACCTATAGCCAGTGTGAGCATTTGCAGACATTATCTCTGATGACTTCTTATCTTTGAGTAAAATATTTTGGCGGTCTCTTACCCATCTTGATAGCAGCAGGGTCCATGGAGATCAATCAAAGCTTCAGGCTATCATGATTGCCAGAAATTCAAATCAGCTTAAAATAGCACCCAACCAGGAGGAGCTTCACTTTCTTCCAGACCTGGGATTTTCTTCTGAGCATCAGTGTCTCAGGCAGAGCAAGTAAGGCATAGTGGATGCATAAACTTTATTACTTATGTATGCTAATTATTCATGTTACAGGAGATTGAACCATTTTGGACTTGCTGCATTCTCTCTTACTTACAAACTCAGGCCCACACTTCTGTGATCTCACTTGTGGTTTTGTGTTTAGGTATTAGTTTTTGTATTTTCCTTCAGAATTTTTGAAATCAAAAACTTACACAAAAGTTGTAATTCTAGTCAAAGAACATTTTTCCTGAACTATCTGTGTGGTAATGACCTGATTCCCCATTATCCTCAAACACTTTATTGTATATTTTTTACAAATAAGAATATCCTCCTACATAGCGAAAATAAAAAGAATTGGTATCATAAATTAACATTAACCATAAGTTCCATCTAATCTTCATGCCCCACTCAAGTTTTACTAGTTGTCCATTAATTTATGTAAAGTAATAATTTCTTTGTAATTCATGATTACTCATTTTACTTAATATGTCTCTTTAGTTCTCTTCAAACTGGAACAATTCCTCAGCCTTTCCTTGTTTTTCCATGCTTTAACCCTTTTGGAAATTACAGGCCAGTTGTTTTTTAGGAATGTTGCTCAATTTTGGTTTCTAATTATGGGTTGCCTTATGATGAAACTCAAGTTCTATATTGATGTAGTTTGGCTGTGTCCCCACCCAAATCTCATCTTCAATTGTAACGCCCATAATTCCCACGTGTTGTGGGATAGATCTGGTGAGAGATAGCTGAATCATGGGGGTGGTTTCCCTCATACTGCTTTCATGGTAGTGAATCAGTCTCTTGAGATCTGATGGTTTTATAAGGGATTTCCCCTTTCACTTGGCTCTCATTCTCTCTTGCCCGCCACCATGTAAGGAGTCCCTTTGCTGTTATTTCATCTTCCACCATAATTGTGAGGCCTCCCCAGCCATGTGGAACTGTGAGTCCATTAAACCTCCTTCTTTTATAAATTACCCAGTCTGGGGTATGTCTTTATTAGCAGCATGAGAACAAACTTATAAATATATATTTGGCAGAAATTTGGCAAGTGTGATGTGGTATTCTTCTCATTGAATCCTGTCTGGTAACAAAGATTTAAATTTGTCCTGTTATGAATGATTTCTACTTGGATCACTGATATCTGCCAGGATTCATGGATTTATTATCTTCAGTAGACTATAATTCATTACTATTATTTTGATAAACATATTGTCTATAATTTGTTCAGTGGAAGGTTATTTAAAGTGGTTCTTGTGTCTTTTTGAAATGTCTCTATTACTCACTGAACACATTCTTACTTTCTGGTGTAAAAGGTGTCGTAAGTGCATTTTGTAGTTTCTCTTTGGCTGTCTTGAAATCAGATATTTTTCCAGAGCCATGTTTCCTTTTAATGATGAATGTTATTTAGAAGCCGAGATTTAGATGCTATGTGTGCTCATTGCTACTAAAGTGTCACTACTCCAAGGTCAACAAAGAGTCATTTTCATCTCTATTTATTTCTCTACCTATATACATGAGTTCCCAGTAACAACTTCAATTCCAATCCCATACCTTAGCAAGTAGTTTAGCTTTTGCCATTTCTACATTTTTTTTGTTGGTAGTTGTACCTTGTTTTTGATGACAGTTGAAAAATAAAGCTGCTATTATCCTTATAACATATGTAAAATTCCCCAATATGTAGCTATTCAATTATATTTCCTTGTGGCCTCTGATTCACCATGTTGGGCCACTCCTCAGCATGGACAATTTCCTTACCCTGTTAGTGCTCTGGCACCATGCACCAGGTCAGCCCTTCAATGTGAACACTCTCCTTACTTTCTTGGACTTTGACACACCACAGTAGAGGTGTGGAAGCCCTCCTCATCCTGCTCACTCTCTGACACCTTATATCAAGCTGCCTGCCAAGGGTATACTTCTCACTATGATCAAGCTCTGACATCTTGCTTTGGGTCATTGTTTTCACCAACTGTCAACTGGAGATACCTACCTTGATCACTCCCACCTAATGGATTTAGGATTGAATTGTTCAAGAGGTAACAATGAAAGAACACTCATTTGATTTTTAAATGTAAAAAAATATTATTTTAACGTAAAATATGTATCGAGATAACTGCAGATTTGCGTGCAAACTTGAGAACAACTACACAGAAATACCAGTGTACATTTTACATGGTTACACAATTACATCAATGGTAACATTTTGTAAAAGTATAGTGCAACATCACAAACAGAATACTGACATCAATATATGAAACTAATCTTATTCAGTTTCCCAGTTTTAGTTTATTCATTGTATGTGTCTCCATGGATGTTTAGCTCTGTTGAATTTTATCACTAGTGCAAGTTTGTGTATTCCCCATCACAGCTAAGATACTGTAGAGTTCCATCACCACAAGGATCCCATTGTCACCCTTTTATAACTGTACTCAAATTCTTCCTGCCTTTTCCCACTTTATCCCCAACACATAGCAATCACTATTCTTTAATTCTAAAATTTTGTCATTTCAGAATGTTGTATAAATGGCATCTTGCAATAAATAACATTTTGAAATTTGCTTTCTTTGCTTGGTATAATTCCAAATAGATCACCCAACTTGTTGCTCAAATCAATAGTTCATTCCTTTTCCTTAATGAGTAGTGTTCCATGGTATGGTTGTTATCACTACACAGTATATATTATACAACAAACTTTTACTTATATAATGTTCAAACACAGACATGAATATTAGTTTATAACTTTGAATAGCATTTAGTTTTGAGGAAAAGGAGTATCTAGGAGGTTCCATGAAGGGATCTTCTCAAATTCTCAAAGAGTAATGTTTTATTCCTCACTCTATTTCTTGGTTATATAAGAGGGCTCACTGTGAAAATTCATAAAGCTGCATCACTATCATTTGTTCACTTTGCTTATGCACTAATACTTTAATATAGTGAAAATATAAAGTAAATATGAAAGGAAAATTAAAATATTCAATAACTTTAAATTCTTTATATAAAATAGAAATGATATTCAAAGTTAAAATTAAATGTCTTAATTAAGCAAACTAGATGCAATACTCCTGGAACACTTTACTACTTAATGTATAAAGAATATTTGTAAACCAATTAGAATAAAATGTCACTGTAATCACAATAACTAATACAGCAAAACATAGTCATTTCTTTCTAAAAGAACAACCAAAACCACAGTAGCTAGCAACATAGCAATAAGAAATGCCTAAGTAGAAAACTTGAGAACTTTGCTAAAGGACATAAAATACAACTTAAAGTAATTGAGAGACAAACAATATTTTGAATAAATACCAATAGGAACAAAGAAGTTATCCTCCAGAGCTTGCTATGGAATAGAAAGAAGAGTATAGAGAAATGTATAATTCCATTTATGTGAAAAAATAAAGATAAGATTAGATGTATATGAATACAGGCATAATTGCAGAGAAAAAGGACTGTAGAGGCAAACATCAGGCTCCTACAAGTCCTTATCTCTGCTCTAGAGAATTTTAGAGAATATATTTGTATGTGTGTAGACAGGGATGTGGGAAAAGTATTATTAGATATTGTTATGAATTGATGGGAATATATTACTTAGAATAAAGGGAAGGTAAAATATACAAAGATGCACTCATACAGAAAAATTCATACAGTTAAACATATGAATGAATGTGTTTAAACATATATGCTATATATTTTTAATTAAAGATATACAGCATTTTCTGAATAACAAATATGTCTTTTTTTATGTGAGAAAGGGAAATAAATACATTCAGGTAAGACCCCAGGTATCAAGGAAAATGAAGACACTGAGCAACTAGAGATGGAATCTTGAGAAAGAAAAGTAAAAGAATCTCAGCAGACACAAATAAGATTGAAATTACTTTTACCTTAGTCCTGATATCCCTGGATATGTACAGATTCTTCACATGCCTATACAAACACATATGACTGATTCCCAAATTAATCAGGGTCAAAAATGAATCCAAAGAAGAAACATTTACTAATAGTTCCTACAAATTTAGCCTATAAATCACACTATTTGAAGATTTGAGATCTACGAAAAATATAGTTTAAACTCTGTGTATCAGTAATGGGCAGTTTCTAAACTCCAAACTGATAGAGGAGAAAGGAATGTGAAGATCAGAAGACTCTTACTGAATCCCGCAGATATATGAGAATTCTCTGTGTTCAAAAGGGCAGCATTTGAGTGGAGGTGGTGTGCATGGAAGGCTGTTGATGGAAGGACCATAGCAAATGTATAAAGAATTCTCAAAATTCAACAGTAAAAGAATCAATCCAATGTGTAAAATAGTAAAAGATATGAATGGACATTTCACTGAGGAGGATATATAGATAGCAAGTAAGCATATAAAAAGATGTTCAGATAATTATTGATTAGGGAAAAACAGATTGAAGCCACCATTAGATATCATAACATTCAGATCAGAATGACTAAAAAAAGTGGCAGCACAAAATGCTGGTAAAGATGCAGAGAACTAGATCACTCAGATATTAATGCTGGGAATGGAAAATGGTACACCTGCCCTGGAAGACAGTTTGGCAGTTTGTTGTAAAACTAAACATATAATTGTCATACAACTTAGGGATTGAACTCTTGGACAATTGTCCCAGAAAAATGAAAATTTATGTTCCCATGTAAGCCTAAACCTTTTATAGGGGCTTTATTTCTAATAGCTAAAAACTAGAAAGAGTCCACATATCCTTCAACAGGTGAATGATTAAACAAACTGTGGTACGTCCAAACCATGTGAGATCTTCTTTTCGGCAACCCTTTCAACACTAATGCTGGCAAGAATGTGGAGCTACAGGAACTCTCATTCATTGCTGGTGGGAATGCAACATGGTACAGTCACTTTGGAAGACAGTTTGGCAGGTTTTTACAAAACTAAACCTACTCTTACCATACAATCCAGCAATCTTACTCTTTGTCATTTAGTCAAAAGTGTTGAAAACCTATGTCCACACAAAAATCTGCACACAGATGTTTATAACAGCTTTATTCATAACTGTTAAAACTTGAAGCAATGAAAATGTCCTTCAGTAATAAATGGATAAGTAAACCATGGTACATCGAGACAAAGGGATATTATTCTCTGACAATAAAAGAGCCATCAAGTCATAAAAAGACATGGGTGAACATCTAATACGATAGTGAAGTAAGCGAGTCTAAAAAGGCTACATACCATATGATTCTAGCTATAGGACATTCTGGAAAAGGCAAAACTATGGAAATAGTACAAAGATTAGTGGAGTCAGAGGTTGGGAGGAGAAAGGGATGAAGAAGAGGATCACAGGAATTTTAAGGAAGTGAAAGTATTCTGTATGCTGAAGACAAGTCATTATACATTTGACCAAATCTATAAATGAACAACATCAAGAGTGAACCCTAATGTAAACTACGGACTTGGAGTGATAATGATGCGTCAATATAAGTTCATCAATTGTAATAACTACACCACTTTGATGCAAGATGTTGATAGTGGGGGAGGTTGTGCATATTTGGGAGCCAGGAATATTTAGATGGTACAGTAAAAGCAAATTTTTCACAATCTGATTTATGTAAGGCAATATGAAAAAAACAATCTTTAAGATCAATAACTATGAGAGGCCAATTTTTAGGTATTAAAGCAGGGGCAGGCATGCCAGGTTGGACGGCTCCCATGGGTTTAATTACAGTCACTGCAATGGCCGTCACTGCAATGGCCACCTCTGCCAGAATGGCGTTACATCAATCTATTCAAACAGCTCATTTTGTTAATGATTGGCAAGCCAATTCCACCCAAATGTGGAATTCTCAACAAAGCATTGATCAAAAATTGGCTAATCAAATTAATGATTTAAGACAGTCAGTTATTTGGCTTGGAGATTGGGTAGTGAGTCTCGAACATCACATGCAAATGCAGTGTGATTGGAATACTTTGGATTTCTGTATCACCCGTATTCCTATAACGAGACTGATCATTCATGGGAAATCGTCAAAAGACACCTTCTGGGTAGGGAAGATAATTTATCATTGGACATAACTAAATTAAAAACAAATTTTTGAAGCTTCTCAAGCTCACCTATTCATTGTGCCTGGAGCTGAGGCTTTAGATCAGGTGGCAGAAAATCTTTATGGATTAAACCCCAGGACTTGGATTAAGTCTATTGGGGGCTCCACTGTAGTAAATTTTGGAATTATGTTTCTCTGTTTAATCGGCTTGTTTTTAGTGTGCTGGACCAGTCAAAAAATCCTGCATCAAAATCAAGAGAACGAACAAGCCTTCATCACCATGGCACATTTATATAAAAAGAAAGGGAGAGATGTTGCGGGAAGTCAGGGACTCTGAATGGAAGGACTGGCTGAAGCCATGGCAGAAGAACATAAATTGTGAAGATTTCATGGACATTTATTAGTTCCCCAAATTAACACTTTCATAATTTCTTATGCCTGTCTTTACTGAAATCTCTGAACATAAATTGTGAAGATTTCATGGACACTTATCACTTCCCCAATCAATACCCCTGTGATTTCCTATGCCTGTCTTTAATCTCTTAATCCCATCATCTTCATAAGCTGAGGAGGATGTATGTCACCTCAGGACCCTGTGATGATTGCGTTAACTGCACAAATTGTTTGTAGAGAATGTGTGTTTGAACAATATGAAATCTGGGCACCTTGAAAAAAGAACAGGATAACAGCAATGTTCAGGGAACAAGGGAGATAACCTTAAACTCTGGCTGCCTGTGAGCCAGGCATAAAAGGGCCATATTTCTCTTCTTTCAAAAGCAAACAGGAGAAATATCACTGAATTCTTTTTCTCAGCAAGGAACATCCCTGAGAAAGAGAATGCATCCCTAAGGGGAGGCCTCTGAAATGGTCGCTTTGGGGATGGCTGTCTTTTGTAGTCGTAACTAAGGGATGAAATAAGCCCCAGTATCCCGTAGCACTCCAACGCTTATTAGGATGAGGAAATTCCCGCCTAATAAATTTTGGTCAGACCAGTTGTCTGCTCTCAAACCCTGTCTCCTGATAAGATGTTATCAATGACAACGCATGCCCAAAACTTCATTATCAATTTTAATTTGTCCCTGGTCCTGTGGTCCTGTGATCTCGCCCTGCCTCCATTTGCCTTGTGATATTTTATTACCTTGTGAAGCATGTGATCTCTGTGACCCACACCCTATTCGTACACTCCTTCCCCTTTTGAAAATCACTAGCAAAAACTTGCTGATTTTACGGCTTGGGGGCATCACGGAACCTGCTGATATGTGATGTCTCCCCAGGACACCCAGCTTTAAAATTTCTCTCTTTTGTACTCTGTCCCTTTATTTCTCAGACTGGCTGACACTTAGGAAAAATAGAAAAGAACCTACGTGAAATATCGGGGGTGAATTTCCCCCGATAGTACCTTATGCTCAATTTTGCTGTGAAGCCAAAACTACTCTAAAAATAAATATATTTTTAAAAATCACTTTCGTGTCCATGATCAGATATTGACAACATTTCAATTTCAATGTAGTGTTATTTACAAGTGTGTTCTGGGGAGTCAGCAAGTTCTTTGGTTTGAAAAGCAAGACATTAAAATATGTCATAGTTACTTTCAGTTAAAGGAAAACACCAAATATTTGATGAAAATCATGTGGCAAATATGTATAACTATTCAAAGAAAAAGTAATATTTCAATGCTCTATACATGTGGTATCGTTCTCTGGTATTTATTTTAAAGTGCCTTTTTGTTACAGTTACATCAGATGAATTCTCAAAGATTTTGTGTTTTTCAGGACAATGAGCATAAAAAGAATACTAATATATTCTGAGATTTAAAGTACTTAATAAGGAGGTGTAGCTGGCCTTCAGGAATCATGTTTTGTTAATTCAATACAAAGCAAGAGAAGTTTGATGTTTTGCCTAGTAGTAGCACTTCAACCATTCAGAGTGTAAGGTCCAGAGAATGTAATTTCCAAAGTAGGTTAATAATTATTCTTCACCAGCAGCTATTCCCTGGGTCACACAGTCTTGCAACCCTGGTCGTTATGAAAATTAAGCTGTGTCTGTTATACATGTTTTGGGGAGAAAGGAAGAAACGATCTGAAGGTGTACCATTTGGCATAATTTTTCTGAAACTTCTTGAAGGAACTAAAACTATAGGAGCTCTGCAACTCTTCTGCAGGGGTTCAGTGAGGACTATTATGGGGAGATTACTACACCAATGCTCATGTTTATCTTCAGACACCATTCCTATCCCCAGCTGCCACATACTGGGCAGTTTTCCAAATTTTTTTCTTTTCCCCAGTTTACTTTCCATCTTTCTTCCAAACTGCTCTACTTCCAGCTCAGGGGTAGTTGGTGTTACCTCATTGAAACATTTACTTAGTTCCTACACAGAAGGACTCCTCAGCATGAATTAAATCTTTGCCTGATGACTACATCCCCCAATCAGATCTTTTCAATATAATTTATTCCAGAAAACTCTGACATTTTGAGGACATTTGATATATCCTAAAACTTAAAAGAAAAAGTGTCACAATTTACACCATGGACAAAAAAATCATTTCAAATCAATTATCAACTTACCTGTAATAGTGGAGAGACAGGAGTTAAGAGATTAGAATTCAACTTGGAAGGACACACTCTCAGTGCAATTGCAAAGAACAGGTAAGGTACAGGAGGCAAAAAAAGAGAAGGCAGGAGGCCTAGTAAAAATGTAGGCAAGAGCTTATGGAAGCTTTCACAGGGATAGTGTCACAGTGGAGTGGAACGGGCAGGGAGAGAATCCTTTTTTTTTTTTTTTTTTTTTTTTTTGAGACAGAGTCTCACCCTGTCACCCAGGCTGGAGTGCAATGATGCGAACTCGGCTCACTGCAACCTCCTCCTCCCGGGTTCAAGCGATTCTCCTGCCTCAGCCTCCTGAATAGCCTGGATTGCAGGTGAGCACCACCACGCCCAGCCAATCTTTAGTAGAGATGGAGTTTCACTGTGTTGGCCAGGCTGGTCTTGAACTCCTGACCATGTGATCCACCCTCCTCTGCTTCCCAAAGTGCTGGGACTACAGGAGCGACCCACTGCACCTGGCCAATCCTAAGATTCTTAGAAGATATTTAGTGAGCAAAAGAAATCGGATTTGGTGACTGATAAGAAATGGAGAACTTTAGACAAACCCTAATGCTGGCAATACCTATAAAAACTGAACAAATTATGGGAAAAAAATTACGAATCCAAAATGAAGGCATTGGAGACCAATATAAGAATACAAAAACTAGGGATAATATGATCTTTAAAAAAAGAAAGCTACATGGTGTATTACAGATGTACCTGGACTTTCATCTTTGTGCTCAGAAAGATGAAATCCAGGCAGACATTCACAATCTTACCAGACTGAAGAAGGAGGTAAGATGTTAGGAATGCAAGAATGGCTGGAAATTGGGGTAGTGGGGGAACTGGGGGTGGGGGTGGGGGGTATGTTTAAATTCCCAAGAGAAGAGAGTCACAGAAATCCAAAATTTACATGAAAATTCCTCATAAATTATTGTCTAACTCATAAACTATGCACATGCCAGGTGCAGCTTCAAGAAATCCAAAGGAAAGCAACAAGCTGCAACTCCAAGAAATCTTTTGGAAAGAGCATACCAAAGATTTCAGAAGCTGCCACCACTGGAAAGGAAGTGTTTTGAGGTACAAATTCCTCCAAGTTAGAGGGGCTTGGTAAAAACATCAGGTTTTTATTGAAAATCCTGAAAGGCCAAACCCTAGGCATAAGGGCTAAACTAAACAAATCAGTTGTAATGAAGCCTGAATGTAACTCTTTACAGGGTCAAGGTGATCCTCCTTACTAAAGAAGATTTAACCTCTTTGGAGAATAAGATCTTTCACAGTCTCTATAATTCTTCATTCATAATTTTGTGTGCCTGACATTCAATAAGAAAGTATAAGACTTAATAAAAAAAAGTGTCAATTGATTGGAAATCAACAAGTGAAAGAGACCAACAGGTAACTCTGATATTGGAATTTGCAGAGAAGGATATTAAAATAACCATCTTAAATAGGTTAAAGAAAACATAAGAAAAGACAGACAAAATGGAAGGAAGTAGACATTTTGATAGAAAAATTATAATCTATAAAAAAGTATGAAATCAACATTCAAAAATTCAAATACACAATGTTAAGAACTTAGTGGATAGTTTTAACAGCAGAAAATAGAACTAACAATATTGAATATAGGCCACCAGAAAATATTCAAACTGAAGTTAACCCCATCAATAATAATGCAAATTAGAATACCGGGATGTACATAGAATTTAAACTCCAAGGGAAATATATAGAAATAATTGGAATATGGAAAATTACAGCCACAAGGAAAACATCCCCACAAGGAATACTGGAAATAATTTTTATCTTAACTGGGGGTTAGCTACATGTGTGCAGACATAACTGAAAATGTATTGAACTCTGCAGTTAAAATAATTTAACTTATTATGTTACTGAAATAAGAATTTACTCAACGCAAAATAAACATGCATCCCTAGATTGTCTTTCTCTACCTTTCTGCCTTCGTTCCTGTCTCCTACTCTGCTGCTTGTCATTTTCCTCCACAATAAACCATCTGCTCCTACATCATTTTCTTGAATTCTCCTGTATTTGATGAGTCAAGGCTGAAGCAAAAACCTGTTGCCTTGCTTTGTTTTTCTAAACAACCAGAAATGTTTTTATTTTTCCCTTGTCCTTGAATGCTACTGAGGTTGTTTACGGATTTTAAAGAATTTGGAAGCTATTATATTTTAACCACCATTGTTGTCAATGAGATAAGTATCTGATGCCAATTTTATCTTTACTCATGAAATTTTTGCCCTCTCTCTGCTTACTTTTTATCCTTTAAGTTCTGAAATACCACTACTATGTCTAGATTTTTCCCTCTGATAACCATGTTTTAGTTCTGCAGATACAAGTCTTTCCTTAACTTTAGTAATGTATAATTTATATTATTTATTATGTCTTTCACTTAAAGTTTCTAAATGGCTTTCATTTTCCACATTACGTTTTCCATTACATTTTTAATTGGAGAAAAAAGGGAAGTTTAGACTTTCATAATTATGCGTTTTCTTATGACAAAACAGAATGGTTCATAGAAATGTATGTTTTATAAACATTTTTAAAAAGTCATGACAGCTACCCACATCTGAACCTGTATCACTAACACAACCATAAACATATCTCAGGAAGCTCCTGGTAGCATTCAGGTTTTCCAAACCCTCACTAGACATTTCTACATAATTCCTTTCTGATCACCAAGATATTTTCTATCATAGTGTCTACAACTTATGAGAACTGATGTCAGTATTTAAATTCAAGAGTTCAAGATCAACAAAGGACACTTTTATTTAGAAATGGACTCATCAATTTTTGGTTACAAAGAAACATGTCTTTTGATGGGTTTTCTCTTGTTTATTGTTTGCCTGTGCTATTTTATATATATATATATATATATATATATATATATATATATATATATATATATGTGCTTTTATATATATATGCTTTTATTTATATATATGCTTTAATTCATTCTTTTTATTCTTAATAATAGCAACGTGAAGTGGAAAGGCTGGATTTTAGATTCCATTTTCTTATATTATCTGATATCACAAAACTGCATTTTAAGAACAGTACTGTAGAAACAATAAGTACCTTGTTTCTTGGCTTCAATTATTTTATCCAAGCAAACGTGATTTGTCAACAGAAGAGATTTTATTTCAGTTTTACTTTTACCTCTATGCTTGTCTTAATAAAATGACTAATTTCTTATTTTATTCCTTTGCAAATTTTATTTTCCTTTTAGTTTACAAAGATACTGCATATGGTTATTAATTGTGTTTACCCAGCAACTTTTGCTTTTGTTATTCATCAGTGGCATCAGCAGAATGTCTTAACATTAGTTAGAAATTAAGACCAAAGCAAGCACGGGTTAAGCTGTTGTATAAAAGAAATTCAGTTGAACTAATTTAAGCTGAGTTGTATTTCAGTGCTCTAAAGCAGCCTCTTATAGTTTGCTTGCTGATTTGCTCTAATTTGCTACTGCTCCTTCTGTGTGTGAGTGTTTATGCTTTTTTCTTTAGTTAAATGCCTTCAATTCAGAGATGCTACTTGTATTATAATATGAAGAAGATGAAGAATGCATTGCCAGAAGTAGATCAAAGTGGTTAATTGCAAACTAACTTCAGCATTTTGTCCCTGTTTGTAGAGAGAGGAAAACAGGTGGCATGTGGTTCTCTGCCACAATATTGCTATATAATAATTGTGCTCTTTGAAAATAATACCTGAAAGTAAGTCATTTCAATATAATTTCAGTGTTTATAGATGTCTCTTTTGAAGAAGCTTTGGAATATTTTACATTTGCTAACTGATGTTTAACCCTTTCTCATGCTAATTAAATTGAATGATTTAGCCAGGAGGATACTAGTAATCAAACCAGACAAGAGCCAGATGAGCTGGGTTTTAATAGTGGTCATTGTGTCTTACCTGTGTAGTGAATATTGTGACTATTTGAAAACCACTGTGACTGAATATTTTGTTATTTAAATATACTTTTTTTCTCTTTTTTTCCACTCTTTATTTTCTTTTTCACCTCTCTCTGTTACTAGCAGCAAATCTATATGGGTGTGCAGCAACCTCAATTCTTGCCCTTTAGTAGAAAGAATTTGACCAATGAGGCATAGGTCAAAGATATTTCTTTCATCTGCCATTGTTTCATCCTTGGAATTTGTGTCTGTTTTGATGCCTCTACTCCCATTAAAGAAGAGTTTCTGAAAAACAAGCAATAAATGTAAATAGCCTATATTTCTCCTCTGTCTAGTCCACATGGGCCCTGTTTTCCTAGAGTATTTGCAACATTGGGCTTCCAGGGTGCAATTCACAAACTGATTTCCTCGTATCATATTGGCCATTCTCAGTCTACTTTGTTGAATTTCCCTGCAATTTACGTTTCTTTTTCTTTCTAAGCTCCTCTATGGTGACCTCACCCAGTTCTGTGACTTTTAATACCAGCTATATGACAATGACATGAAATTTACATTTCTAGCCTAATCTTACCCTAGAGCCTCAGACTAGTATATTCCAAATCTCCACTTGGATATTTCAAAGGCTTTTCAATTCCAATATTTCACAAATTGATCTTTTATTTATTTCTCTTTATAATCTGATCCTTCCAAAATGGCAACCCGCTATCCAATTGCTCAGAACATGAAAGTAGGCATCTGAGTCCTCATTCTCTGGGATACCTCACATCCAATCCATAACAAATCCCACTAGCTCTAACTTCAAGGTGTATGTCAAATACAAATGGCAGACCTGAGCACTTTTTATCACATCAGTGGTTTCCACATAAACTGCTAGGGTCCCTCACCTGGATCCCTGTAACAGCATTTTAACAGGTTTCACAGTTCTATTGCTGCTTACCTAGGGTCTGTCTGCTACAGAGAAGTCAGAGTGATATTTTAAGCACCTAAGTCAGATCATGTCACTCCCTTGCTCATACTCCTCCAACATTTTCTGATTGCACTTTGACAAAACGTGGCTCTTACCATAAACTACAAGAATATCCCATTGCTCAAGTCTTTCCCACCTCAGGACCTTTGTACTTGCTGGGAAAAGTGCACTTTATATCATAGTACATACCATACACTGTACTTACGATGTACATAGAGTACATTTTCCTCATATTTCATGTTTCATGTTTCATGTTTCAGTCACTGATATTTTTTAAGCCACTCTTCAATTGTAACCTCTTCAAAAAAGTCTTCTGTATTCCATGTACCTAAAATAGTAGGCTTTGACACTCAGTTTCATCCTGTGACAACATTCCTTTAAAGCACTTACCACTAGCTGATGTTATACCTCATATTTCATTTATTTGTTGTTGCCTGTCTCCCTTACTATGATATAAATAAGTGTTTGAGGTCAGGGGTGTTAACTTGTCAATGCTAATATCCCCAGCTCTGGAACTGTGCCTGATACATAGTAGAGATCCTGTAAATATTCCCTTAATAAACAAACATTGAATGACCAAAAAAGTGAGGCACCATTCCAAGTGGTGGGTTAAAAATACTGAATGAGACAGATGAAGTCCCCTCTCTCATGACTCATACTCTAATGGCCAGTCATTCTCAGTAGCATGTACAATGTCTATAAATTTATTTTTTATGTGAACCTATCTCTTTGGCTTGAAAATTATGTCCTTAAGATCAACTGTGTTTTGTTCATCTTGCTATCCTGTACGCAACCTACCTAGTACCTGGAACATAAAATCTTTTAAACCTGTTTTCATTTATCTTATACATTTGTTTGTTTATTGGTATTTGTAATAGAATATCTGGCTTATCACAAGCTTTGTAATTTTATTTTAAAATTCTTAGTAAGCAACTACTATCCCATAAGTCAGGCTTAGAACTTCAGTGGCAAATGGTTAATATCCCCATTTACAACTAGGAAACCACATGAGAATGTTGAAGTAACTTTCCCAAGGTTATCCAATGAATCATTGCCAAAGCTAGAATTAAATCCCATAACTCATTCTTGTTTAGGAAGCACTTTTATTCTTCGTTTTAAGATACACTGGGAGAACACTGTGTATCACCATCATTTTTCATTGGAGAGTGTAGAATAGACAAGGCCTAAATCAACTTCATAATAGAGGTCTTTATTTCATTTTGGAGTTTTAGTGAAATACGGCTAAGGATCATTAAATGTTACAGATGGGTTTAAACTGAGATTAGCTTATTGATCATTAATCAGCTAGTGAATTATTAAATAATTAATTCCACATATTGGAAAAAATTGTTGTTAAATTATTCAAAGCTCATGATATCCCCTATGAAAGATCTCTTTAATGAATTATAAAAATAAAAAAGTCAACATCTGTATAATTGTATTACCTTGCATTGATTATTGCTTATACAGAAATCAATTAAAATAAGAATTCATTTACAAGGTCAGAATGCTCTTCTCTTATCAGTGTGCAATTAGCTTCCACGACCAAAGCCAAATGAGATATTGGCAGAAAGCCATAAGCATAATTAATATTGTTGTAAGGATAATTACTAAAATAGTACCTAAATTGAATTTGGGCTTATTAAAATCAGCTAGTACTACTTTACTTTTGAATGACTCCCCATTTTTAAACATATTATATGTTTCTTCTTTTGTTCTAGTATATATTAATAATTTATGCCTCCTTACCAGGCTGAATGATTCCTGTCTTGTTCCTCCTACAGTGGACAGAACGAACTTTTTAACAATATGAATCTTATCATATCTTTCTGATTAAAATATAAATTTAGTAGATTTCCATTTTATTTCCAATGAAGTCCAAACCCCTTCTCATGGTCTATCTATAATGCCCTATGTGATGTGGTAACTGTGATTCACCACAACTCCATCCCCCACACTGTATTATTCATTATGGACCAGACTTGCTGGACTTCTTTGTGAGTATAAAGACCCCAAGCCCGAAAACTATTGAACTAGCTGTTCCCTTGATCTGGAATGCTTTTCCTTTATCTTTGCATTGCTCTCTTTTATGGTTCAGGTCTCATCAGGAATGACATATCAATAGCATACTATCTAAAATAGCATTTTCTATCTTATTACCCAATTTTTGTTATGGGTCAGCCTTGTGATGTGCTCATTCTTATTTTCATACGTGTGTTCCTTAACTACCTTTGCCAGAACATGCGTTCTATGAAGACAGTGACTTAAAGCTTTTGTTCTTTATCTCCAGAATGATGGACTATAGTAGGTGCTCATTAAATGTTTTGTTTGAATGAGTGAAAACTATTTTCCGAGTGCTGCTATGCTTATAAGATTGGTAAGAAAATGGACTCCAAATTATTACCACTCTTTAATATTATATGAATGCAACTTCAGCCCTTGATGTTAAATTCATTGTATGTTTATCCTTATTTTGAAAAGGGACTGTTTACATAAATTATCTTAGCGTGGGACTTTTGTCATTTTATAATTCAATATGTACACCAAGGTAGTACGCAACCAAGGACAAAATTTAATATATTTCAAGCCCTCTTCTAATTTGATTTAAATTATATTGCAGCAAGCAGTATATTTTGAAATATGTAATTCAGGCTTATCCTAGTATCGATATAGGTGTTTTTTTGTGGTTGTTGTTTGCTTACTTATTTTAAAGTACTGGAGTTAAGAATGAGGGAAAATGAGAATACTTGCTTATCCCTATATTTCTTCAAAGTCTAAGTAGCCCTCAGAAAGCATTGTTCCAGAATTCAGTGTGATATTCATGGCAGGAGGGACATGTTTCAGTCTTATATAGGTCAGAATCCTTTCTCTGAAATGTAGCTCTTTCTTTAATTCCCTGGCAGTTCTGATTCTACTACTATGAACAACTCTTTTTTTTTTTATAATAGTGAGAACTATTATCATAGGAGGCAGGAAGTAGACATTGCATTTAAGCATTACAGTTCTGTCAAAAAATTTTTTTAGTTCTAAATTTATCCAGTAAGATAAATCAGATATTTCTCTAAAAATTTGTCATCTATTTATTTAAAAATTAAAACAATGCTTAACATTTTTATGATCCTATGGAGTATTTAGGGGAAATAATGTCATTAACTTAATTTAGTCTAATCACAGAATAGACTGTATAAATTAAATCATCCAAGTTTAAATAACATATCTCCAGAGGCCCTCTCTCTTTGAAAAATCTAGAAATTTATTCAGAGATTATTTTCATTATAAAATTTAATGGGAAGGTTAATGCAGCATCAAATATGATGTAGTATCTCAAGTTGATATTCATAGAACCAAAGAAACTAGCCCTCTTTCAGGGCCAGTTGCTTACATTTTGTCCATTTTATGTATAGCTCATGAAAGAGCAGTACTACTCAAAGTGATTCCTGGACCAGCAGCATCAGTATCACCTGGGAACTTGTTAAAAATGCATATTCTCAGGCCCCACACTAGACATACTAAATCAGAAGATCTGAGCGTAGGCCATAGCAGTCTGTATATTAACAAGCCTTTAACAGGGTGATCCTGATGCAGACTAAAGTTTGAGATCCATGGTCATATATAGATCAATGCCTGACAATTTCTCAGTGTTTTCCAGACTTACAAAATGCTAACCTATTCTATCTCATGAAGAATGTGATAATTGATCAGATTGTACTCATTGAAGAGTTAACATCTTCCTTCCAATTTCTGTTCACTGATATACCTTTTCATGACTTTTAATTTAACTGAGGTTTATATCCTAAGTTAAATTCTGCCTGTACTATAAACTTTCCTCTTACATATTCAAAATTTTCTTGTGTTTGCAACCACATGGGATCAAAATACATTCAGTGGGTAAATATTGTGTAGCCTAAAAAAATTAACAAGCCTATATAATAGTTTCCTTATCTCCTATACCCCTAAAACTAAAAGTGTTGAATGCCATGTAAAATTACACATAGAATATTTACTGGAAATGAACACAACACATTCAAATACCACCACTACAACTTATGGTAATATGTCATATAAAAACACAAGATTCCAAAAAGCTCATTTGTTGTCCTGAGGGAGTGTTTTCTGACTTGAGGTACCAATTGTGAGTTCTCACACTTGTCACTTCAAAAATTGATTTAAAAAAATGGACCCCGAAGGATAATTGTGAAGATTCTGATGTAAGTGAACTCTATAATAGCTTCTCTAATTGGTGCAGTTAAATCCTATTTATCTTAGTGTTGCAATCTTCTAAAAGAGTCAGGGCATATTTTATAGTTGAATCCATAAAGAAACACACACACACACACACACACACACACACACACACTCAAAGAATTAAATAGAATGTTGTATTTGCAATAAAAATAGGACTAAGATGGTGGCTGATTTGATTGTAAAAAAATAAAAGTGCTAACTGTGTTACAAGCAGGGGATTTTATTGAAAAATTAGTGATTTCTGTTAAACAAAAGTAATGTTTAGAATACAAGGAAGATTGGTTTACATTTTAAAATAAGACATAATTACTCACAGATGATATCAGCAAAATAATCCTTATTCTTGTTAGCAATTACAATAAAAGAGACTCTAAATGTGTCACAGAATGTCTGGGGTGCATTTTACCTGTGTAGATGAAAAGGTTGTATTAGAATGCTAGGAAACATAAATTAGCTCTCCTAAAATATTGTAATGTTTTGGGTGGGGGTAAGTAAAAACTTTTTTCTGAGCCTTCTACCTTCAATAAACACCATGCCTACTTATTTGTCTTCTTACTGATCTCCATTTCAAATTATTTTACTTTCTTATTTCATTGAATGACTGCGTGACAACTATATGTTACTGTATTCTCACACAAAGTGTAAAGCCAGCCCTCCCACTCTATACTCTTCGTTCTAAACTCAGCTCAGTTAACAGCACCTCTCACCACAAAATGAGGCAAGATGGGATCATAAGCAAACTTTTTATTCTTCATGCTCACATTTCACATTTAATTTACCAAGTCTTGCCAATCATTTCTTCAAATTAGTCTTAAGGTGTGTTGCCCTGTCTCTACTCTCAATGCCATGTTTTTTTTTTACTTCAAGCTTTATGATAGTGAATGCTTATTTTCCTCTAAAGTGCTAGAATCATCCATATTTGCTATATCTATGGCCTTCAGAATAAAATCTTTATACACCTTCTACCCTCATGGTAGCTTCTGGTGATAAAATTCTGGCTCCTGGGGTAGTTGTATGATGACACAGAAGACAGACTTTCAGGAGAGAGTGCTATTTTCCTTCCTTTTACTTTTCTTACTCGTTAAAGTGTGACCAAATAGCAAGAGTTGCAACTAGCACCATAGCACAAGAGATGATTGGGAATGGTAGTTGGGCAGCCAAAGAGACAAAGCCTGTGGCCTTGACAATGTGAACGGCCATTTCGTCCCTCTACTGTCAAACAAAAATTAATGATTTCCATTAAACAAAAGTAATCTTTAAAATATGTGAAAGATTGGTCTATATTTTAAAATCAGTCATAATTATTCACAGATGATATCAGCAAAATGACCATGATTCGTGCTAGCAATCCCAAAAAGGGAGACTCTAAATGTGTCGTTGAATGTCTGGGCTGCATTGTACCTGTGTAGATGGACATGTTGGATAATAATGCTAGGAAAAATTGATGACCATGAGAGAAAAATATTGATTAATACAATTACTTTGTGTAGTTTTGTTATTGAAACCACACATAAGTCCCCCAAAAATATACCTTTAATTTTTGCTTAACAATTTTTGGATGTTCTCTTATCTGATCCAGCATTACTTGATTCCAAAACAGACTTCATATAACTGCCAAGTAAAATGTCTGAAACTCAAATCCACTTACGTTTACTCAACTGCCCATAAGATTAAGCTAAAAATATATAGCCTGGTATATGGGGGATTCATGATTAGTCCTAGTCCTCTCTGTACAGACTCATTTCCTGCCTTTCTTGCATTCTGGCTGTATTTTCCAGAATTTGCTACATAGATTTTTTTTTTGAGTGCCTGCTAAGGGTCTGCCCTAACAAGCGCCTCATTTCTCTCCCAGCCCCATGGACCATAGCTTGCTGCTTTGTCTCTTGAAAAGCCTTCTCTCCTTCTCTGTTCAATAGGGGCTTACATTTTGCCTTATATGTGAAGCCCTTCCCTACTCTTTTCCTAATCCATCATCTTCTGTCCTTCCCATGTAACACTGTGCATATTTTAATTGGTTTTCATGCTATATCACTTTCTTTGACTAGCTGACTTTCTCATTAGACTGTAATCCTCTTTGTAGCAGGATTATAACTTCCAAATTTCTAGTATTTGGAAGGTTGCAAAGAACATAGTAATGATAAAAAACACTTGTGAAAAAAATTAATAAATTAATGTCAGAACTAAAAAGGATGTATACTCCATGGAATACTATGCAGCCATAAAAAATGATGAGTTTATGTCCTTTGTAGGGACATGGATGAAATTGGAAATCATCATTCTCAGTAAACTAGCGCAAGAACAAAAAACCAAACACCGTATATTCTCACTCATAGGTGGGAATTGAACAATGAGAACATATGGACACAGGAAGGGGAACATCACACTCTGGGGACTGTTGCGGGGTGGAGGGAGTGGGGAGGGATAGCATTGGGAGATATACCTAATGCTAGATGACAAGTTAGTGGGTGCAGCACACCAGCATGGCACATGTATACATATGTAACTAACCTGCACATTGTGCACATGTACCCTAAAACTTAAAGTATAATAATAATTTAAAAAAGGATGTTATATATCATCCTTCCCTTCCTTCTTTTACTAGATGAGAAAAATATGGAGAAGTTTTTAAAAATCAAAATCATGCAACTCTTTATTAACAAAATTATGATTAATTCTGGTGTTGTCTGGCGCACTAATCCATGGTAATATCCCCACTTCATGTTGCTTTTTTAAAATCCCTGAACTATTTTAGTTATAAATCTATTTTGTCTTTTCATTTTCTCTCACTGTATCTGTTCATTTAATATTAAACTAATGTTTATTTTGTCAGTCTTCCAAAGATTTAATTTGTTTTCTGGAAATCAGAACACTGTAAGAAGACAAAGCCTGAGAGAAAGGTTAATGGATAGAATTAACTGTGCAAAATCATCATAACCCTTAGTACCTTACAAGAAAAGATAAACTGCAACATCCTGAATTTTTCTCATGTACAAAATCTGCAATTTCACATTATATTTTTTACCATACTAAGTGAATTGTATTACTAATTGAGATGGTTACTAGCAGACACAATTGAAAGTCATATCTGATATATTTCAGTGATGTTGCAAATGTTCATAAGGGGAAAAGTGATGTCTTTATGTTATCTTTGTGAAACATTTGGACACTGGCTGCTTGAAGAAGGTATTGACCACAAAATTGCCACCTTCATTGTAATAGAATCGTAGGAATCAATCAATCTTTTGGATCACATGTTTAGAAAGCTGGCAAGGGAAAGTTAATAATTCCTGACTGCATATAAAGAATAACAAGAAAAAGTTAAAATAACTAATTTTTAAAATTTATAATTGGCACATATTAGTGAATACTGGTGGGGCACAGTGTGTTTCAATGCATGTATACATTGCATAATCACCAAATCAGGGTAATTATCATATGCATCACTTTAAACATTTTTTTGTAGTAATAACACACAAAATTTTCTCTTCTAGCTACTTGAAATATACACTACATTATATTTGCAGGAAAATACCAGTCTAAAGTACAGTGAGCTATCACCTCACCCCAGTTAGAATGGCTATTATCGAAAAAGACCCAAAAAAAATGCTGGAGATGATGTGGAAAAGGAAACCTTCATACACTGTTGGTAGGAATGTAAATTAGTACAGCTACTTTGAAAAACAGTAAGAAGCTTTCTCAAACAATTAAAAATAAAACTACCATATAATCCAGCAATCTCATGACTGGGTATATAGCCAAAAAAATTGTATCAGTATGTTGAAGAGATATCTCTACTCCCATGTTTATTGTAGCACTATTCACAATAGCCAAGATACGGATCAACCTAAATGCCCGTCTACAGATGAATGGATGAAGAAAATGTGTATATACACACAATGGAATATTATTCAGCCATAACACAGAATGAAATCCTGTTATTTGTGGCAACATGGATGAATCTGGAGGATATTATGTAAAGTGAAATAAACCAGGCAAAGAAGAACAAAACACCTCATGATCTCACTAATATAAAAAATCTTAAAAAGTGGATTTCATAGAAATAGAGAGTAGAATAGTGGTTTTGAGAGGCTGGGGAAAATAGTGGTTAGAGGAGAATGGGAGAAGTTGGTCAATGTGTACAAAGTTACAGTGGGACAAGAAGAGTCAGTTCTGGTGTTCGTTTCACAGCAGGGTGAGAAAAGCAGTAACAATGTAGTGGAGCTGTCATTTCTAAGCTCCTCTAAATTAATTTTATTTCTCACCTTTAATCACCATTTTTTCATGTTTTGGCTGAGTTGAACATATTCCAGGGATAAGGAAAATATTTAGCAATCATGTTTAGGTAGTTGTAGATTGGAGAAAGATACTTTTTTGGCAGCCTTCTTAGGAGACAGATGGGTAATACATTTATTTAATTATTGTTTTATGTAATACACCTTGAATCTTACCTCAAACGTTACTTAAATTATTCAAACTCAATAAAAAACTTCTGCTATCCACATTGTACAAGTAAGGAAACTGTGATATAAGAGGCCACGTATCAAAAACAATAACATTAGCAAACATTTTTGGGCCATTTGCAGTACCAAGAAATCAACAAAGATGCTTAAAGTGTGATCTCATTTTCTCTTTACAGAAGCCATACAAAGAAGATTTTCCCATCACTGGTTAACAAATAATATATATAGTTAAACAATCTTCAAAATTTTATATAGATACAAAATTGAGTGACCAGAAATAAAGCCCACAACTTTCCCTCTGACTTCAAAATCATGGCACAATTCTCCTTAGGAGAAAAAAAAATAGTGCATCCATATGGATTGTAAAGCCCTATCAGTCACAGCTTTGCCTATGCTGAGTTGGTGAAACACTTGAGCCTGCCTCCCAGCTTGAAGAATTCGCCTGCTAGTGCTAAATACTACTGCTGCTGCCTCCTCCTGGCCAATTCAGCAGGAAGATCAAGGGCAAGGGAATTTGTAAAGTTGTCCACAAAAGTCAGTCTCCCAGGACCCACAATGAGATAGATATTAATGGACAGTGAATCTGGATGAACAACAAATGAAAATATATATGCAGAAAATAGCTTATTCATTTAAGTAGTTAAGAAATGGTCTGTAACTAGAAATAGCTACACAACAGGCTTAGAGAACAGGCTGTTCAGATTGATTCAGGCAGACAGAGAAGAAAAGAGAACAATTTTTCACAAACAAGGGGCACTAATGGAACATTCAAAATAGACCTTGGGAGAAATTTGAGGCATAGTAATACATATATGTATACATGGAGCGAGAGAGAAAGAGAGAGAGGAACCTGGTAGATGGCAAAGTAGTATGGATTCACAGTTGAATATGGGAATATTTTTCCTTTAGTACTCACAAATCATGGCATTTGGGTCCTCAAAAAAGGAATTATATACAAATAAACTTCTTGGCTGTGCAGTAAATATGTTTCAGAGAGAAATAAACTATTTTATTGCTTTTCAAATTTTATAATCTACCAAAAAAGAAGCAAAAGATTTAATTATGGTTGTAAAATAGACAGTAAATGTTAACCTCCTAACACATGACAGGAGAGAAACAAGAAATGAAAGAAAGCTAGAGAAAATAGTAAGATAAACTAAAAATTTTCAGCGAATAACACTCTCCCTGTGAGTGACGGAACAAAGAATGGATGTCTATACATGCTGTAACCACTTGAAGAGTTGACCAGTAGGGATAAGGAAACTAATACTTGTCTACATTGGGAAGAAGGAGGACAATATGTTGATAGTGATAGAAATATATTAAATCTTATCATCATAATATTAGAATATTAACCAAAAATATCTGAAATAGATAACTGAGTAGGTGTTAATAAAATACATCATTTAGAAATACCAACCTCATATTAGTTTTCTAACTCTAGGTAAATAATTTACTACACACTAATTAATGTGTGGAAAACCTTCTCGATATTGATCTTGTCAACTATTTTTTTATTATTATACCAATAGCACAGACTGCAAAGGTAAATACAGACAAGTACAACTCCATCCATAAAAAGCTTCTGCACAGCAAAGAAAACAATCAAGAGTGAAAAGGCAACCTATGGAATGAGAGAAAAATTTTTGCAAATTGTATGTCTAGTAAGAGGTTAATATACAAAATACATAAGAAAATAAAACAACTCAATAGCAAAACAACAAAAACAAGATAACTCAATTAAAAAATGGACAAGGAACATGAATAGGCATTTCTCAATAGTAGATATACAAATGGCCAACAGGTACGTGAAAACATTAATGATCAGGGAATTGCAAATCAAAATCACAGTAATACATCACCTCACATTTGTTAGGATGGCTATTAGATTAAATTAAATTAAACACAGAACAAACACATACTCATTTCTGAGTATATATCCAAAGAAAATAAAATCTGGAGCTCTAAGAAATATCTGCACTCCCATATTCACTGTAGTATTATTCACAAAACGGGAGATGTTGGTCATAGGATATAAAGTTTTCAGTTAAGGAAAATGAATAAATTGTGGAGATCTACTGTACAGCATGGTGACTATAGTTAACAATACTGTATGGTATACTTGAAATTTAGAGGGTAGATATTAAGCATTCTCACCATAAAGAAGGTAACACTATGAGGTGATGGATATGTTAATTAGCTTGACTGAGGTGATCATTCGGCAATGTATATTATGTACATATATTAAAACATCAAATGGTACACTTTAAATATATAATTCCTATTTGTGTATTATGCCTCAATAAGCTTATTTAAAACAAAACAAAACAAAACAAAACAAAAAACTCACAATTTAAAAATTCTGAAAGTCAGAATTCGAAGCGACTCAACTGGGTTCTCTGCTCAGGATTTCACAATGCTAGAGAATCCATTCAGTGGGAAAATCAACCTCCAAGCTTATTCGGTTGTTGACAGAATTCAGTTCCATATCATGATAGAACTGACGTTCAGATTTCCACACTTGTTGCTGGCCACAGAATGCCCTCTAACCCTGTAAGCCACCTCTATTCTTTCTATGGCCATCTCCATCTCCAAATCAGCCATGGTGCCTCAAGTCCTCCTTGTGTTAGGATCACTAAATTTCTCTTCTGTCTTCCCCTTCTGTCTTCCATTTCTGCCTTCCTCTTCACATTCCTCTTGCTACAAGTCAGAATTTTCCACTTGTAAGGGGTTTGTAGTATTACATTAGGCTCATATGCCTTAAGGTCAATTGTGGCATATAATATAACACAATCACAGGAGTGATATCTCATGACATTCACAGGTTCCAGGGATTCGAGATGTGGAATTTTGGGGCTATTCCTAGAAATTTTCCCTACTGCAGAATTCACTACTAGAGACTCCAAAAACAAGTAGTTGAAGATTTATTTTTTTTAATGAGGAGTATGACTAGAGCTCAGATGGGTAAAATATCCCGAGAGTTTAATTTTCCATTTTAAAGATGGCAAAGTGAATACAGTAGTAAAACAATACATTATTCAATTAGTCTTTGGAAAAATTATGTATATTTGGCAAAAGCATGTTTAGGTCTCAATTTTACACAACAGACAAAATGAAACATGAAAATAAAATATATTAGAGAAAAACAAAACATATTTCTAATATATAAGATGACTTTAAAAGACATATTTTGCTTTGTTAAATATTAACCTTTTAAAATAACTACCATAAACATTTCAAACTAATCAAGATAAATCTTGCAACTTACAAAAAGCCATTGATATACAGTAAATATAGTGTAAAAAATTTTAAATATATTAAAATTACATATAGCTCATTAGAATTACAGCTAAATATATTAGTGGGCATTTCACAGTGGGAAATAGAAATAGCTTATAAATTTATGAAAGGATGTTAACCTTATGATCCACGTAAAAAATAGGAATTAAAAATAAAATATAATTCTTATTAGCAATTTAAAAGTAGAGACAATATGCAATTTTAGGAAAGCCTGAATTATCCTTTCTTATTGGATTGATTCCTCCTCATTCATGCCCTAGGGAATCTTGAGTCTTTACATTGCATTATTATTGAAATAGCAATTTTATATTTATAAGCAATACTATGATTAATAGCTGTCTTCTCTGACAGTTAATTGTCAGGGCTTAGCATAGTGTCTGAATTATAAAAATATTCACTAAATCTACGTTTGAATGGATTAAAAAAACTATTGATAAGACTATGGAATAGTGTATACTCTCATACAGTCTTGCCAGAAGAAGAAAATTGCTATAGTAGAATATTTTTTGAAATAATTTAGAAATATTTGCCAAAATTATAATGAACAAACATTTGACCAAGTTGTTTCATTTTCTTAATATGTAGTCTACATAAATGCTATTTCATAGACACAAATATGTACAACTTCATATTCAAATTACAAAATTGTTCATACTATGCGAAGGAAATAAAGTGATGTAAATGTTCAGCAATGCGGCATTGGTTAAGTAAATGATATTATTTTCACAACATGGAATACTTTAGCAGTTAGAAATAATGTAGATGTAAATATGCCGACATGGAATGGTCTTCAAGACTCATTGTTAACAATTAAATACAAAGAACAAACACAACAAGAAAAGAAGAGCAAAAGAAAAGAATATGATCACATTTACACAAAACCAATGTAAAACTAAAAGCATTCATTTTTCTATTGACATGTTAATGGATGTGCTAATGTGAAGAATAATGTGTAGGTGAATCAGACCAAAATGACAGCTTGATCACATACTGGAGCCTCTTTCTTCATTCTCAACTCTCTAGAAATGAAAGGAAAAATATTTAATAATTAATTTCAGATTATACTGAAATATAAAATAAGCAAGGATGAAAACATATCAGTAGTTTCCAAAAGACAGACAGCACATGCCAAAATACTGTAGAATGATCTTACAGAAAGAACTGCATGAAAATTTAAAACAGAAACATAGAGGTAAAAATTGGCAAACAACAGAGTGTATGGTGGAGTTAAGCCAGGTATGTAAAACATTTTCTGTTGATGCTTACAATATGTGAGACACCAGACCCCAACTACTCCATGGACACATGGAAACAGGAGATGTCAGATTGTCCTCTTGGTTCAGAGAAGCAGAGCAGTGACCTACGTTTGAAATTCCCATGCCCAAAGTACTGGCACTAGCCAGGCAGAAGTCTTGCATTTCTCCCACAGACCCTGAAATGGGGTTAGCACTCACAGAATTAATTGTAAATTCCAAGATGAACCCCCACATGAAAGTCAACAAATATTTGAGGAAATCTCTGAAGGGTTGTTTGGGGAAATGGAAAAACAGATCCTAAAACTTATATAAAACTTTAAAGAACAAAGAATACTCTAAATAATTTTGTAAGAACTAAGTTGGAGGACTTACTTCCAATTTCAAAGTACTATAAAGATACACTAATCAGAAAACGTGGTACTTTTTAGGATAGACATATAGATCAATGAAACAGAATAGAGAATTCAGAAATAGACTCACACATGTTTTATTGATTGATTTTTGACAAATGTGCCAAAGCATTACAGTGGGAAAATGATAGTCTCTTCAACAAAGAGCGCTGCAACAATTGAATATTCATATACATATATAAAAAAACTAAAAGTCTAGAATAGACCTAAATAAAAAGTCAAAAATTATAATATTGCTAGAATGCATAAGAGAAAACTTTCATGACCTTGAATTAGGCAACTCACCATTCACACAAAGAAAAAATAATAAATTGACTTTCATCAAAGCTAAGAATACCTAATTTTCAAAAGATGCAATAAGAATAACTGGGAGATAATACTTGCAAATCACATATCTGAATAAAGACTTACATACAGAATATTTTTTAAATTCTCAAGATTTGATAATAAGAAAGCAAGTAATTCAATTCTTAAAACGAGCAATTTGGACAAAAACGTCACCAAAAGTTACACACAGATGTCAAATGGGTACTTGAAAACATGTCAACATCATTACTCGTTAATAAAAAATACTTATAAAACTACAGTGAGCTACCACGACATGCCTATTAGAATGAGTAAAATTAAAGAGACTAAAAAAAAAATCAAAGGTTGGCAAAGATACAGAAAAACAGGAATTCTCACACACTGCTGGCAGAAAAGTGAAAAGATACAATAACCTAGAAAGCCAGTGTGAAAGTTTTCTACGAAGTTAAATGTACATTTACTATATGATCCAGCCAGTTCATTCCTAGGTATTACCCAAGAATAATAAAAGCATATGTTTGCACAAATATTTCTTCCCACATTCATAGCAGCTTTATTTGCAATAGCAAAAAACCAAAATAAAATCAAATTCATATCAAGAGATTAGTGCATAATAAAATGTGTTTCCATAAAAGGAAACGCTACTGAGCAATAAAAAGGAGCGAATTATTGATAAAAGTGATATCATAGATGGATATCAAATTAACCGTATTAAGTGAAAGAAATTAGAAGAAGAATAGAATGCAGAGTGTATCATATCATTTACATAGAATTCCAGAAAAAAACAAACTAATCAATAATGACAGAAAGCAAATAGTGGTTGCCTTGGGATCCTGGGCAGAGAGAGGTTTTGGAGGGAGCTTTTAAAACAGAAAATTAGAAATAATTTGTGGGTAATGGATATAGTCATTATCTTGCTTGTAATAATTTCATAAGCATGTCTATATGCATTTAAAAACTTTACACACATATAAACTAGCTTTATTTGTCTTCATAAGTTATACTATGTCTGTTTATATAATTATGTCATGAACGCTAAAATAATTGGAATAAGTGATAGAAAATAAATAATAAAAGTGATTATTTCTTGCATGCCCTTTATATTATGCCAAACAAGCCATAGCAGTAGCAGTAATATTTGTAATAATAGTAGGATTGGTAATAGCAAAGGAAATGAAGTAATGGTAACAATAGTATGAATGGTAGAAGTGCTATACAAAAGAGCTCAATAGGTATGACAAACTAACAGCGTAGAGGTCCAATCTAAATGAAATACTATTGGTGTCAGCAGAAAGTTTAAAGAGTATAATTAATAAGTGATTTTAATGCTTTTAGACAACAGATGCATTCTCAGTTTTCCTACTTTACATATTTAAGATAACAATTGAACTTCCAGAGCCATTTGATAGTAATGTATTTTTTACCTCCTATGCCCAATAATTTTGAAGTGTAAATTATTGCTCTTTGAGTTAACTGTCACAGTGTTGAATTTTAAAAATTTTGTTGTAAGAGGCCGGGTGCGGTGGCTCATGCCTGTAATCGCAACACTTTGGGAGGCCGAGGTGGGAGGATCATGAGGTCAGGAGATTGAGACTATCCTGGCTAACACGGTGAAACCCTGTCTCTACTAAAAAATACAAAAAATTAGCCGGGCGTGGTGGCAGGCGCCTGTAGTCCCAGCTACTCAGGAGGCTGAGGCAGGAGAATGGCGTGACCCCCCAGGAGGCGGAGCTTGCAGTGAGCCAAGATCGTGCCACTGCACTCCAGCCTGGGCGACAGAGAGAGACTCCATCTCAAAAAAAATGAAATAAAATAAAATTAAAATTAAAAAAATTTTGATGTAAGATATAACCTACGCACAAACTAAAGCTTTTCTTTTCTTTATTTACCAAATATATTTAGTGTTTGCTATATGCAATATACTATCTCATTGTATTTCTTTATCTTCTATTATTGTCTCACCCTATCTTCCCTGAATTCATGTAGTCTATTTTGAGCTCCTTCATGGTTCCATAATGTAGCTGAGCTTGTGAATGGGTACACAGTGAACAGAGCAAACATAAATGAATGAACAGAACAAACAAGTGTCCTGCCTTAATTCTTACCTTTTAGTAAAGTAGATGGAAATTAAGAAAATTAATATATGTATATTTCAGAGTGTTTGCTGATGATAAGTCCAATAAAGAATGATTGAACAGTAGGAAAAAAGAGAATGATAAGTGGGGTTTTTTTTAGATAGACTTTTTAGGGGTGGTACCCTTGGAGAAGGTGACCTTTAAGGCAAGACAATAAAAAAGATAGAGGAAAAGAACATTCCAGGCAGAGACATTCACAATGCAGATGCTCTCAAATGAACCTTGTTTAGCTGTTAAGAAATAGAAAAGAGGACAGTGTGGGAAGAGCTGAATGAGTGAAAAAGGAGAAAGATTTGGAAATGAGGTTGGAAATCTAGACAGAGTCAAATGACATAAGGCCCTGAAGCCCATTGAGGATTCAGTTTTATTTTAAATGTGATAAAAATCTTTTCAAAAGTAAATGCTCATAAATGATGGAGAACATATTCTGAATGCATGACTGCAAAACTCTTTGAAAATGAAAATGAGGAAACATGATGTACCAGAAATTATGATGGCTCCTTGAAAAACAAAGTAATAGATGTGTCAAATAGATTCTAGGAATTTCAACAAAATGCATATTCAGTGGACTGTTGAAAACTATGAGAAAAGAAAAACACTGGCTTTCAACAAGCAAGTTGTAAATAGGAGGAAGAAGGAGCTCTAGAGCAACCAAGAGAGCCACTCACGAGAAGGACAGCCGAGGAGCCAGAGGAGAAAGTCACTGCAGGCGCCGCTGAACCTTCTTTCCAGCTGTGGGATATCATTCCATTCTTTTTCCAGAGCTCAAGTAACCCTGGTGCTCAAATTGCTCAAGGACACACAGGAATAAGAAATGATGGACCAATTTCACCTATGAGCAAAAATTCAATAACATTAAAAATAAGCAGATTCAATACAGAGATATATTAAAATATATAATTTTATGACCATTAAGATTTATTTAAGAGAATAAGAATAGGTCAAGAACACAATATCTATCAATATATTTCAGTGAATGTGAGAAATATATTTTAAAATGTATATATTTAATTGTGAATTATGATGAATAATGAATTTATGTGGAATTTTAAAGATGGTTTAAAATTCATGTTTAATAATATTGAAAACACAAAAGAGTAGAAGTGTTTATCTTGATTGAAAATGTATTTATAGGCCGGACATGGTGGCTCATGCCTGTAATTCCAGCAATTTGGGAGGCCAAGGTGGGCAGATCACTTGAAGTCAGGAGTTCGAGACTAGCCTGGCCAACGTAGTGAAACTCCGTCTCTACTAAAAATACAAAAATTAGCCAGGCATGGTGGTTCACACCTGTAATCCCAGCTACTCGGGAGGCTGAGGCAGGAGAATTGCTTGAACCTGGGAGGCAGAGGTTGCCGTGAGCCAAGATCACACCACTGCACTCCAGCCTGGGCGATAGAGTGAGACTCTGTCTCCAAAAACAAAAAAAAAAAAAAAAAGAAACTATGTTTATATCAGAAATATATATGTGTGTGTATTATATATATATATATATATAACACACATATATATGAAAGGTTTAATGAAAATTACAGTGTTTTAAAATTTAGATGCTTTCTCTATAAAATCAGAAATAAGACAAGAATGTCCAGCATAATGTCACTATTTCATTCAATAACATATTGAAGGTTGAAAAGAAATAAAACAATGAGGAAGAGAGGATAATAGGAATGAGAAAGAGGCAAAAATTTTTTATAGATGATGTCATTATCTTCACAGAAACTGTAAGTAAATAATTGACAAATTATTAAAACTAACATAAAAGAGCTACAATCTGTCAGATATAATAAAGCATAATAATCGCTATCTATAAATTTAGAAAATGGAAGAAAGAAGGTTATATTAAGAAAAGCAGAGAGAGAGAGAGGTGGCGAGAGAGGGGGAAGGAAAGAGAGAACAAAAGAACTACAAAGTACCAAACGAAATATGTGAAAAAACAGAATGGATAAAATTATAAAACTCTACTAGAGACCTTAAAATAAAATAAAGAAATGAGAAGATAAATCACATATGTGAATGGCATACTTAATATTATAAAGTCATCAATTTTCAAAAAAAGCACCTATAAATTCAACAACAATCAAGTCCCAAAGTGGAATTTTGTTAGAAATTGACAATGTGATTCTAAAAGTCACCTGAAATAGTAACTATGGAAACATAGAGATAATTTTAATCCATAAATGGTAGGCCACTTGCAAAAGATTTGGAAAATATTGCTCCCTGTGATAGAGTGCAGGGTTACGTGTGAGGACAGACTGGCTAAGGGGTGGCATAGCCTTTTGTTCTATTAATAAAACATACCTTTGAGTTTGGACTGATGTTGTTTCATTTATAAGAATAAAATATGTAAAACAGGAGGAATGAAAGTTTGGTGTCCAGGAGTCCCTCTTGTACAGTGATTCAGGATCTTCAAAGGTGTTCTTACTGATGGCTAAAAAGCTCTTTCTTTTAGACATGCTTTTCTCAAGCCTAACCTAACTCCTTGATGAATGGAAGCATTAAACATAAGGATTAACATTGTATTTATTTATTTTTCTACAAGGTATTATTCTTCCCAACATTGTTCTTTGAAACATGGCCTTGAATTTATCATTTTAAACAGACAGATTATATTTTTGAATCAATATCAATGTACAATTAATTCCAAATGTTAATCAGATAACATTTTTAAAAACCATAAAAGCCTAACATAAATGTCCTATGGAACTATCTGTTCTTCAGTGTCCTTACTGATATATGTGCCATAAAAGGCAAATGTCTTTGACGAAAATCTCAGACAATACATTGTTCATCACCCTCTTTACAACATCCTCATTCCAATATACACAACTGTGTAAACCACACTATTGTGAAATACAACACCCTCATTATAATATAAACTATATAAACCACTTCATCTTTCTTTGCCTATTCAAATTTTATTGTCTAATTTTACAAGTGTATATTGTTTAAAAATGCAAATAAGTCATGATGCTGTTTTTTTTTTTCAGAAAATAGTTCAATATTCATTGCCTTGTGGACATTGTGTATTCCGTTTAACTGTAGAACCTACAGTAAAAATGCTTATAAAAACATCAATAAAAAATGGTAGAGTAAGAAACACCAACTTCTCATTCATAAAAGCAATGAAAAAGTGGCAAACACTGTTAAGACCAACTTTACAGAAATCTGGAAACTAACACAAGCTGCTAACAGCCAGTAGAGTGTTTATTCAAGAAAATTAACTGAATTTCACTAAAAGTAGCAAGTTTTGTGGCATTTTAACTTAACTCTAGCCTCACTCCCTGCCTACCTACTCAGCCCAGTTCACCCATACTTTGAAAATAATAGCCCACACTTCTGGTGTTGGAGGAAACAAAGTTTACATGATTTACAAAGAATTGTACTTACTGTATTATTAATTATCTGTCTGGTGGCACCCTATAAGACTGGGTCAAACACTTACCTTTATGTCTACTAACTCACAACTCACCCAGTGCTAAAGCTGCTACCTGAGAGGCATTTATCAAAAGTTTGTACAGACAAATGTTTTAGTTACTAATGTCTGAGGCAATAGATAGCACCTGGTGCAGGCTACAGACTAACCAATCAGCTTGGGAGGAAGAACTGATGAATGAAATGCTTTGTCGAGTAAAAGCTTGGAAAATATTGAGCATATTCCCGGGAATACAGAAGGCCACACACTTGCCTAGGGTGGTGACATGAATGCATGTGAGTCACTCAAATGCCTCAACCACTCACCTTTGACTGATCTTGAAGCTCTGCACAAAAATAAAGCAGTCAATAGAGACTGTCCCTGCGGAAGCAGAGACACTGGACTGGCTAGACAAATAATTAAAATCAGCTATTTTAAATATACTTAAAAATCTAAAAAAAATTTCCAAAAACTAAAGGAAAGCATGAGAAGAATGTCTCACCAAATAGAGAATACAGTCATGTGCTGCTGCATATCGAAGTTTCAGTTAATGATAGACTACATATACAATGGTGGCCTCATAAGAATATAATACCACATTGTAACAGTACGTTTCTATGTCTCAAAATAGACTCACCATTGTGTTAAAATTTCCTGAAGTATTCAGTATGGTAACCTACTGTATAGGTTTGTACCCTAGGAGCAATAAGCTATACCATATAGCCTAAGTATGTAGTAGGCTATGCCATGTAAGTTTGTGTAAATACACTCTATGATGTTTGCACAATGATGAAATTACCTAACAATACATTTTTCAGAATGTATCCCTATCATTAAGTGACACATAACTGTATAAATAAAAATAAAGAATTGTAAAAACAAACCAAATAGAAATTCTGGTGTTGAAAAGTACAATAACTGAAATTTAAAAATTCACTAGAGAAAATCAGCAGCAGATATGAGTTTGTAGAAGAAAGAATCAGCAAACTGAAGATTCATCAATTTATGAAGTTTGATAAATGGAAAGAAACAAATGCCTTCTTTCGGATAACTTCTGAGGGACCATCATGAAGTTGTTTCACAGTTAACATTTTTTTAACAAGTAGGAGTATACCCTAAAATAAGAATAAAATGTATAGTATAGTACATACATAAACCAGTAGCATCACTTATCATTACCAAGTATTATGTACTGTACATAATTGTATGTGCTATACTTTTTATATGACTGTCAGCACAGTGGGTTTGTTTACACCAGCATCACCACAAACTCGTAAGTAATGCAATGTACTATGACACTATAATGGCTAGGACACCTCTAGATGATAGGAATTTTTTAGTTTCATTATAATCTTAAGGGACCACCATCCTATATGTGGTTTATTGTTGACCAAAATGTTATAATGTGACACAAGATTTTATGTTACAGTTCAATTTCTCTCTGTGTTCATTTTTTCTTTCACACAAGGATTGTTCTTGAGTGTACTCCCTAATAATCTTCCTGCACAAAAATCTGCACTTCAAGATCTGTTTATAAATATATCAACCTAAAACATCTCTTTCCAGCAAACCCCAGGGTTTCTGGTAGGTAGAATACTGATAGTCTCTACCATAACTGAAGCAAGACAATTGTTAAAATGTATCTGGTGGTAAATTAGGTTGAGTTATTTATTAAAGAGATTGCATTGGTTGATGCAATATCTCAGTCATTTGAGAACTACAGGATAAGTAGTCAATATAAGGACTAGAGAAGGGGATGTCTATTGGTAGCTACTATGAATGCATTGTTTCACAGGAGATGACAGCTCCACGTGTGTTGTTGCCCACGAAGACCTTCCAATGGGACAAGATGTAAAAAGGTAGAAGACTGTGCTATTGAAGATCCAGACCCTTTACAGGCCTAAGCTAATGTGTGTATTTGTGTCTTAGCTTTTAAAAAAAAATTTTTAAGTAAAAATTTTAAGAAAATTACAAATAGAAAAAAAACTTGTAGAATAAGAGTATAAAGAAAGAAAATATTTTTGTATGGCTGTACAATTTGGGTTTTAAGCTAAGTGCTATTACAAAAAACTCAAAAAGTTTAAGAAATTAAAAGCTTTATAAAGTAAAAACAGTAAGTGAAAGCTAATGTATTATTAAAGAAAAATATTTTAATAAATTTAGCATAGCCTAAGTGTGTAGTGTTTGTGTGCAGTAATCTCCTAGGCCTTCACATTCACTTACCACTCTCTCACTATGTCATCCAAAGTAACTTTGTTCAGCAAGCTCTATTATTGGTAAATTCCCTATACAGGTGTGCTATTTTGAAAAATATTTTATATTGTATTTTTACTGTACCATTTCTATGTTTAGATACTATGTTAAAATTGCCTGCAGTATTCAGTACAGCAATATTCTGTAAAAGATGTAGCCTCGGTGCAACAGGCCATACCATATAGTCTAGGTGTGTAGTAGGCTATGTATCTAGGTTTGTATAAGTACACTCGCTGATGTTTACACAATTATGAAATTGCCTAATTATAAATTTCTCAGAACATATGTATCCCCATCGTTAAGTGATGCATGACTATAGTTGCAACAGAGATGTTAGCTGATCCCTCCAAGATAATTGGAGCAGGGCTGTCCCTTTAAAATTGTTCCTAATTAAATCAAAGGTCCAAGACATTTTATTGAAACATCGCCAGTCATTGGATGATGGTTGTTTCAGAGAAACTCTTTAACCTTGAGCAAGACAGCAACCTAAAGCAGAGGACAATTCTCTTAAAGGGAAGTATTTGTTGCTGTCAGCAGGGAACACTGCAACCATCTAAGGAAATGAGTAGCTCAACCTTAAAGTAAGGGTCTGGGAAGCACAACACAGCATCCACTATAATAAATTCTTTAGGGGAAGAAAAATCTTAAATGACTGGATGCCTATGTAAAAGTTTTCAGAGTAAAAGTAACATTGTATTTGGATATTAATTATGAGTTAAACTTTCCCTATGTGATATGGTTGAGAAATAGGCAATGAGATACCAATAAAACTTCTGGGCACCAAAGCTTGGTGGAGCTTCCTGGTTGATGAATACATTGATGTACCGGGGGGTAACATACCCAGATTCCACAGGGAGAGGTCATGCAGCTCTGCGTTTGGAACCCTCCCAGATCTCACCCTATGTATATCTCTTTGGCCATTCTTGACTTTGTATTTTCTATAATAAAACTGTAATAATAAATGTAGCACTTTCCTGAGTTCTGTGAGTCATTTTAGTGAATTATCTAACTTGAAGAGGATCATGGGAACCCCCTGGATTTGTAGCCAATTGGTCAGATGAGTGGGTGGTTTGGGGACTTCATTTGTGGATGGCATCTAAATTAAGGAAAGACTTGTTGAGGACTGTGTCTTTTAACTTGTGGCATCTGTGCTAATTTTGGGAGGCTAGCGCCAGAACTGAATTGCAATAAACCAGTTGGAGTGGGTGTCAAAAAAAATGCCATACTTAAAATACTTTCAAAGGAGCCAATGTCTTTTCTGCCTGTTCACTGCTCTGTCCCCAAAACCAAGAGCAGTGCTTGTTACAATAATCTCTCAATATTTGTCAAATTAATCAGTTACATTATTCTTACTGTACATCAATTGTCTTCTGGAACTGAATTGATTCCTCTGGTCTTCCCGTTCTAGATGTCTGAATTGTTTTCTAGGTCAGCTCCTTCCTCCCTTTTCTTCCCACTTTTTCTTGGATCTTATGCTGTTTCTTTCTTGGATTTCACTTTTTTGTTTCTTGAAGTCCATCATCAAATTTTTTTCTTTTGATTTTAACTTTGCTTTGTTTTGGTGTAAGATACGTAGTAGACTTCAGAAAGAGTTTATTAGGAGTTAACTCCCTTCATGACATAAAACCTATTTTTCTAAATACTTAAATAGTCTGGCATTTAGTGTAAAATGTAGTTTAAAATAACATTCCCTGAGAATTGTGATGTCATTGACCCACCATCTTGCGGTAATTTTTACTGATGAGTAGTCAAACATCAATCTGGTTCTTTGTTGACAATCTGTTATGTCATTCCGAAAAAGAAAAAAATCTTTATCACTTTCTCTGTATTTTAGATTTGAAAATTGTATAAGGGGGAATATATTCTAGAGTGCTCATTGTCTTGACAAACTTACTTGGGGATATCATGACCAGGAATAGACAAGCAGATGACTCTACAACACGCTGAAATAAGAAATGCTTTCTTGTATGTGACAGATCTTCTGTCACATACAACTTCTGGGAGTTCTAAATCTCCCAAGGAAGATCATCTACTTAAGAAAAATATCTGGTTTTGGATGAAGTGCAAATACCACAGATTCTAATTTCTTTGTGTAGGAGGCTGAAGGGCTGGGAAAGAACTTGGAAAAGGAGGTTTGACCAAATTGTTCCGTGTATATTCCCTTGATTAATCTCTGTAGCTGCTTACTTGTGGTACTTGCTGTTTTCTGGACTTGTGGACACAGAGTTTGGAACCTCTCTGCAGCTAGAAAACACTGTCCCACATCACCTACAGCCTTCCTCTGGAGTATGTGCTGGGTCTGGCTTCCTCTATCCTTGTTTATTTTATAGTATTAGCCTATGCTTTTTTTCATATAATTGTAAGATATCTTCTCTAATGATGAAAAACCACCCTTCTCCCATTTCTCAAGAGGTATGTATGCACATACCCGTGTGTACATATTATATCTCATGTTAATTAGATTAAATTAAACATAGCTAAACATTTTCTAATTTGTAGAAATTAGAGTGCATAGCTAAATATTTTCTGATTTTATCTCTTGAACTAGAAATTCAGAAAACTCTATTTCTGGTTGTAATTTTCTGATATACAAGTTATTTCCCATTCTTACATTTATATCATATTTCATATTTCCTTATTAATATTTAAGTTTATTTTGTTTATGTCTGTAATGTAGCAGAGAGAAAAACATGTTTCCATCTAAGAGTCTATAAGGGTACAACAAAAATATGAACCAGTAATTTTTTTTCATCAGAAAACTTTTTCATTTCATCTTTGATTGGAATTATTACCTTTAGACTTGTTGAATGTGAAATGCTTCAATGCATCCTGCTTTTGTTATATATTTAATCACTTAGTGATACATTTTTATGTGGCCTAAGACCTTTTACTTTCAATGCCATTGAGCCATTTGTATTGTATAATAACTAACAATAATAACAGACATTTGCAAAATATTTTAATAGCTGACATTATATACTAACAGATTAATACTAGATATCCACATAATAAAGTTATATATAAGATCTGAAAAATGTTTAGACTATTAAAAACAATATCATATTGTATATGGTTAAACAATAAAAATAGAAATGAGTCTAATTCCATATTTCTAAATCAAAGGGTTGCTTTATTTTTATAATAGGCCTTCAAAATATACCCTAAATATTTTCTTCTCTCAAGTATACTTACAGGTTCCATGTTATAGCTATCAACTCTACAATCTTCTACAACTTCTGCCTTATCTTGTTTCAAAACCTTTAATTTCTACTTTTCCATGAAATAACCATTTTTTTTTTGACCATTTTCTGAGGTACAGGGATAGCTATCTCTCAAACAAATGTTGCTGCTATCAACCCATCGAGGCAAGAACAGTCAGTGTAATTTAGTTTGTCACTCCATTTTGAAATTTCCTACAGGAGTTAAAAGGCATTACATAGTATAAATTTATGTTTATGGGGACATAAAACATAAACATGTAATTGTGACACCAATAAAATAAAGGGAGATTGAACTGTAAAGAAGTAGAGTTCCTGTATGGAACTGAAGCTAAATTAGTATCAATATAAAAGAAATTGTTATAACTTCAGGATTTTTTTAATGTAATTCCCATAATAACCACATTGAAAATATCTATAGAATAACAAAAATAAACTGATTGGGTAATCGAAAAAGGTCTCTACAAAGAAATCAACTAAACTCAAAGGAAGGCAGTAAGGGAGGAAATGGAGGAGGAGAAGCTATAAGACAAGGAGAAAAGAAATAACAAAATGGCAATAGTAAGTCCATCCCCACCAGTAATTTCTTTAAATGCAAATGGATTAAACTTTCCAGTCAAAAGACATGGATTGGAAAAATACATTTTTTAAAGGATACAACTATATGCTGTCTACCAAAGACTCACTTTAGATATAAGAACACACATAGGTTAAAAGTGAAAGGATAGAAAAAGATATTCTATGCAAATAGTTACCAAAAAAAAGCAGGGTGGCTATACTAATACTATAAATATTATATAAAGTGGGCTTTCAGTTAAACATGGTTGCCAGATACATTGTATAAGACAAAAAGTGAATTTACCACGAAGATATAACAATGATAAAATATTAATCTATGTGACAACCACTGAGCTTCTAACTATATGAAACAAACATTGACAACATGGAAGGAAGAAATAGACAGCTGGAAAATAACAGTACAAGTAATTATAAAACATTTAATACCCCACTTCAATACCCCACTTTAAACAATCAGACAAAGAACAATAAAGTTATACAGAACACTCCAACCAACAATGACAGATTATACATTTTTTTCAAAAGTACATTGAACATTTTACGGGATAGGCCATATATTAGTCACAAATAAGTCTTAATAAATTTCGAAAACACTTGAATTCACACAGCATCTTTTCTGATCTCAATGGAGTGAAACCAGAAATCAATAGCAGAAGGAAAACTAGAAAATCCAGAAATTAAACCACATACTCTTTAAAAACCAATAGTTCAGAGAAGAAACCACAAGGAAAACTTAGTATATCTTGAAACAAATGTAAATGAAATCACAACATACAAAAACTTATGCAATGCAGCAAAAGCAGTACTAATAAAAAAATTATAGCTGCAAAAACCAGCATATCATATTCAAACTTTAAAAAAAAAGAATGTTAAAAAAAAGAAAAAAATTACCTTACCTAGAGAAACAAGGATAACAATCACAGGAAAATTCTTACATATTCTTTATTATAAGATGCAAGACAGTTTTAGTTGACAGTGGACTTAGTTGTATATTGTTAACTCTAGTGCAACTACAAAAAAAAAGGAAAATAGAAAAAAAGTATGACTATACACTAAGAAATAGAGAAAAAATATGTAAAATGCTCAAATAAACAACAAAAGGTAGAAAAAGAGGGAAGACAAAGGTAAGAACAATGAACAAAGCCAATATACAAAAAATAATAATAAATATGGTAGATATTAATCCAACTACATTGTCGATACACTGATACAAATTGATCATTGTCGATACACTCATACAATAATAATTTTGCAAATAAAATGTCTAAATTCACCAGTTGAAAGAAAGATTGTCACAGTGAATTAAAAAAAAGACCTGGCCAGGCATGGTGGCTCACGCCTATAATCCCAGCACTTTGGGAGGCTGAGGCGGGTGGATCACGAGGCCAGGAGATGGAGACCATCCTGGCTAACAAGGTGAAATCCCGTCTCTACTAAAAATACAAAAATTAGCCAGGCGTGGTGGCAGGCACCTGTAGTCCCAGCTACTGGGGAGGCTGAAGCAGGAGAATGGGGTCAACCCAGGAGGTGGAGCTTACAGTTAGCCGAGATTGCACCATTGCACTCCAGCCTGGGCAACAGAGCAAGACTCCATCAAAAAAAAAAAAAAAAAAAAAAGACCTAACCACTTTGGGAGGCCAAAGCGTGCAGATCATGAGGTCAGGAGATCGAGACCATCCTGGCTAACACAGTGAAACCCCGTCTCTACTAAAAATGTAAAAATTTAGCTGGGGTGGTGGTGGGTGCCTGTAGTCCTAGCTACTCCAGAGGCTGAGGCAGGAGAATGGCGTGAACCTGGGCAGCAGAGCTTTCAGTGAGCCAAGATCGCGCCACTGCACTCCATCTTGGGTGACAGAGCGAGACTCTGTCTCAAAAAAAAAAAAAAGAAAAAAGACCTAACCTAACTGCTTATTGTCTACAAGAAGCCCACTTTAAATATGAAGACACATGTAAATTAAAGGCAAATGGATGGAGAATTATACATCATGCAACCACTGATCAAAAGAAAGTGAAAGTAACTATAAACATTCTAAACAGAAAATAATCAAAGTAAGGAAATTTATCAGATTAAGTGGTGCATAATAATGATAAAGGAGTCAGTTCTCCAAAAAGACATAATAATCCTTAATGTATATGCACTTAACAACAGAGCATCAAAATATATAAGGCAAAAACTGATAGAACAGCAAAGAGAAATAAATAAATCCACTATTGTTGTTGCAGATTTCAGCACCCTTCTAACAGACGTAGACAGATTCAGCAGGCAGAAAACCTGTTAAGGACATGATTGAATTCAATAGCACTCATAAACAACTAGATTTAAAATACTATCCAACAACAGAAGAATATGTCTTCTCAAGCTCGCATGGAACATTTACCAAGACAGACCACATTCTAAACATAAGACATACTTTAACATTTTAAGAATAGGAATTATACAACATCTGTTCTCAGACCACAATAAAATTATACTAAAATTTAATAACAAAAAAGAGATCAAAAGTTCTAAAATACTGAAGATTAAACAACACACTTCTAAATAACACATGGATCAAAGAAGAAATCTCAAGATTTTTAAAAACTTTGATCTAAGAAAAAACAAAAATATAACTTTTGGGGAATGCAGTAAAATTAGTGCTTAGAGAGAAATTTATAACATTGAATGCATATATTAGAAAAGAAGAAAGATCTAAAAATAGTCATTTAAGCTTTTACTTTAGGAAACTAGAAGAAGAGCAAATAAAATCCAATGTAAGCAGAAAATAAATAATAACAAGTAGAGTATAAATACAATTGAAAACAGAAAATCAATACAGGAAATCAAAACAAAAAACTATTTATTTGAAATTATTAATAAAAATCAATAAAACCAACAAGCCTCAAGTCCAGATAACAACAACAAAAAAAACCACAGAAGACACAAATTATTAATATCAGAAATGAAAGTGAGGACATAACTAAAGACCTCGTGGACATTAAGAGGATAATAAAAGGTACTGGGAACATCTCTAGGCCCACAGATTTGATAAGTTATATAAAATGGATCAAATCCTTGCAATCAGTGAAAACTCACACAAAAATAAATAAATAATCTAAATAGGCCCATATCTATTAAATTAATGGAATCAACAATTAATAATCTTCCAAAACAGAAAGCACGAGGCCTGAATGGATTCACTATGAATTCTACAAAACCTTTAGAAAAGAAATTTTCTACAATCTCTTCTAGAAGATAAAAACAGAGACTAACTCCTTCTAGTAAGCCAGCATTACCAAAATACCTCAAACACATAAACACATCACAAAAAAAGAAAATGACAGACTGATATCTCTCATCAAAATAGGTTTAAAAATCTTCAGTGAAATATTAGCAACTTAAATCTATCAGTGTACAAACAGGCTAATGAAGAAAAATCACATAACTATATCAAAAATCACATAACTATATCACATACCTAAATCAATTATACCATGGAGAAAAAGAATTTGACAAAATCCAATATTCATTTATAATAAAACTCCCAGTAAGCAAGTAAGAGGGGATTTCCACAACGTGATAAACAATGTCTGCAAAACCCTGTAACTAACATCATCTTTAATGATGAAAAGTAGAAGCTTTCCTGCTAAGATCAAGAATAAGGCAAGGATGTCTCCTCTCACCATTGCTCTTCTTCATCATACTAAAGTTCATGCTAATGCAATAAAAAAGTAAAGGAAATAAAATATATTCATATTGGGAAGGAAGAAATAAAACCTCATTGTTTACAGATGACATCATCATGATCATCTTTGTAGAAAATCTGAAAGAGCTGACAGAAAACCTCCTGGAGCTATTAAGGAATTACAGTAAGGCTGCAGGATACAAGATTGTATGCAGAAGTCAATTGCTTTCCTGTACAGCAGCAATGAAAATGGACAATTTGAAATTAGAAACACAATATTACTTACATGAGAACCCAAAAAAATGAAATACTTGGTTATAAATCTAATAAAATGTGTACAGGATCTATAGGCAGAAAACCACAAAACTGTATTGAATAAAGCCAAAGGAAAACTAAATAAATGGAGAGATATTTCGTGTTTATCAAAAAGAAGAATCAATATTGTCAAGATATCAGTTCTTCCCAATGTGATCTGTAGATTCTGTAGATTCAATGCAATTCCATTCAAAATCCTAACAAGTTATTTTTTTCAATATCAACAAACTATAAAATTGATATGGAAAGGCAAAAGACACAGAATTGACAAGACAATATTAAAGAACAAAGTTGGAGGACTGACACTACCTGATTCTAAGACTTTTTAAGAAAGTGCAGTAATCAGAACAGTGAGATATTTGAATAGATAGATGAATAGCCCAGAATAGGGATCTCAGAAGTAACCCAATAAAAAATAGGCTACATATCTTAACAGACAATTCCTCAAAGAAGACATAGAGATGGCATGTAAGTATATTTAAAAAATTTCTACATATGTTATAAGGGAAATGCAAATTAGAATAGAAATTAGATACTTCTATACACCTAGTAGCATGACCACAATCTGGATCACTGGTAACACCAAATACTGGTTACAATGTGGAGCAACAAAAATGTTCATTTATTGCTAGTGGGAATACAAAATGATGCAGCCACTATGGAAGACAGTGTGACAGATTTTTTTTTCCAGCTGTATTTGTTTTTACCATATAGTACAGCAATTGCACTCCTTGGTATTCACCCAAAAGAGTTTAAAATTGATGTCCAACTGGGCACGGTGGCTCACTCCTGTAATCTCAGCACTTTGGAGGCCGAGGTGGGCGGATCATTTGAGATCAGGAGTTTGAGATCTGAGACCAGCCTGACCAACATGGTGGAACCCTGTCTCTCCTTCAAAAAAAAAAAAAAAAAAAATTAGCCAGGCCTAGTGACAGGTGCCTGTAATCCAAGCTACTCAGGAGGCTGAGGCAGGAGAATCCGCTCGAACTCAGGAGGCAGAGGTTGCAGTGAGCTGAGATCACACCACTGCACTGTAGCCTGGGAGACAGGGTGAGACTGTGTCTCACAAAAATTTTTAAAAATTAAATAAAATTGACATCTAAACAAAAACCTGTACACAGATTTTTACTGCAGTTTTATTCATAATTTTCCAAACTTGGGAGCAACCAACATGTCCTTCAAAAAGTGACTGAATAAACTGTGGTAGATGTAGACAATGGAACATTATTCAGTGCTAAAAAAAAAAAAAGGGCTATCAAGCCATGAAAAGACATAGCAGAAACTTGAATGTCTAGCACTAAGTGCAATAAGATCACCTAAAGGGCTACATACTATGTGAGTTTGCTACATGACATTCAGAAAAAGACAAAACTATGGCTAAAGTTAAAAGATCAGTGGTTGCTCAGGGTTGGGTGAGGGAGGGCTGAAAAGGCAGAACACAGGATTTTTAGGGCAGTGAAAATACTCTATATTATATTATAATGATGGACATATGTCATTACACTTTGTCCAAACTCATAGAACGTACAGCAGCAAGAGTGAACACTAATGTAAACCTTGGACTCTGGCTGATAATGACACATCAATATAGGCTCATCAATTATAACGAATGTACCACCCTAATGGTGGATTTTGGTTATATGGAGGCAATGCATGTGTGAAGGCTAGGATTATATGGGAAAATGTTGTTACCTTCCTCTCAATTTTGATATTGACCTAAACTGTTTTTAACAAATAACATGTTTTGAAAAATGTATATTGCACAGTCTAAGCTAAATATGAAAAAAAGTTTAAGGCACTTTTAATAAGAGAGTAGATACACTAGTCACATAAGATGCTCAATTAAGATCCAAAAGACAGACAAAATGTGGGAAAAAGTAATGATTAACAAATGCAGTGAATATAAAACAGTGATAAAAGTGGTAGATAATAATCCATTTCAATGACTGTATAACATTTTTATAACATTTAAAATGTGAATAGTCTAAAAACACCTATTAAAACACAGAGATTGTTAGAGTGGATAAAACAATTTATTCACTAGAGGAGCTCAACAGTAGATTTAAGCTGGCAAAAGAAACAGTCAGCTTTAGAATAGTTCAATAAAAATGATACATTCTGAAGAACGGAAAAAAAACAATGGAGAAAAATGAGCAGAGACTCAGAGAAATATGGAACATCATTAAGCACACCAAAATATGCATAATAGGAGTACCAGAAAGTAACATAAACAAATAGTTGAAGAAATAATGGCTGGGAATTTCTCATATGTGATAAAAAAAAATAGTCTACACATCCAAAAAGCCAAACAAACTCCAAGTAGGATAAATGCAAAGAGAATTAAACCCAGACACATCATAATAAAATCTCTGAAACACAAAGACAGGGTTTTGAAAGTAGTAAAAGGAAAATGACTCATCACATTATAAGGACCCCTGATGATAATAAAAACCAACTTCTCATCAGAAACCCTGGAAACCAAAGACAGGTAATAATATATGCAAAGAGCTGAAAGAAAAAGTCTGCCAACAAAGAATTCTATATTCAGAGGAAAGTAGCTGAAATACAGACATTTACAGATGCACACACACACACACACAAAATCCCAACCAAGCAAAAACAAAAACCTGAGAGAATTTATTTGCTGTCAGAGCCACTTTACCAGATACTACTAAAGAAAGATCCTCAGGTTGAGAGAAGGTTACCCCAGAGAGTAATTTGAAGCCACAAAAAAAACCAAGAGTGCCAGTAAAGGTACTTATATGGGTAATTATAGAGAAATGTATAACTGCATATTTCTACTTTACTTCCCTTACTTGATTAAAAAAGCAAATGTATAAAATATATATCTATACTTGCATTGTTGACACTTTTGCATATAGAAATACAATATGTTTGACAACGCCATAAGAAAGGGTCATTTGTAAGCAATGTTCCGTGGAGAAAAACAAATAACTCCAGATAGTAACTTGAATCCAAAGAAACAAATAAAGAGAACCAGAAACAATGATATGGCTAATATAAACCTATAAATATATACTGAAAATACATACATGTTCTTCTTTTTTCCCTAGCTTCTTTAAAAGGCATACAATTATATGAAATCAGTGTATCGCATACGTATTATATATGTGTGCAGAAGTAAAATGTATAAAATAGCACAGAAAAGGGAGGAGGTTATATATACAGCACGTATGAGGAAAGTTTCTATCTCATTGGAATTAAGTTAGTATAAGTCTGAAGTAGGTTCTAATATATATATATAATATCTAATATAATATATATGTGTGTATATATGTATATATGTGTGTGTGTCTATATATACATAGACACACACATACATATAGTAAGCCCTAGAGAAATCTCTAATAAAATAACCAAAAAAACCCACAGTAAAAAAATTATTAAAAGTATTAAAATGAAATAGTCTATTAATTAATAAAAAGAAATAAAGATGGAATAGACATGAAACATATACAGAAAGAAAACAGCAGAGGTAAATCTAACTGTACAATAATAACATTAAATAATAATGGATTAATCAGTTCAGTCAAAATGCAGAGATTGTCAGATCGTAGTAAAAAAAATAACATTTACCTATTTGGTGTCCTCAGGAGACACACTTTAGGTTCAAAGAAACAAATGAGTTGAAGATAAATGGATGGAAAATATACATTATGTAAACTGCAACCATAACAGGGATGGTGTGGCTAAATTAACATTAGACAAAATGGATGTTTAAATAATTACTAAAGAAACACATTCTATATTGATAAAAAGATTCAATCCATCAAGAATATATAACAATTCTAAAAATATGCACCTAACAATAGACTCCCAACTATGAAGTAAAACTAAAGGGAGATATAGACAATTCAACAATAATAAAGACTTCATACTCCACTCTAGGTAGTGGATAGGACAACTAGACAAAAGATGAACAAGAAAATAAAAGGCCTGAAACAGGCATGAATTGAGCATACAATCAAAACAAATAAACAAACATACAAACAAAAAAAACAGAACACATATGCTTCTCAAGTACACATGGAATATTCTCCAGTGTAGGCCATATGCTAGGCCATAGAAAAGCCTCAGTAAAATTAAAGGCATTGAATTAATATGAAATATGTTCTTCACTCAAAATAAAATGTAATTACCACTCACTAAGGAGTGGTTTGAATTTTCAGAGATCAAAAATACATGAAAAGTAAATAATACATTTCTAAATAACCAATGGGTCAACGAAGAAATCACAAGGTAAATCACATTAAATTGCTTTAAGATAAATGAAAATAAAACACATCACACCAAAACATATGGAATGCAGTTAAGTGACTGTAGTGAAATTTAGAGCTATAAACCTATATTTAAAAAGAAGATAGATCTCACATCAATAATGGACTCTTCTACTTCAACACACTGAAAGGACAAATTGAAACTAAAATCAGCAGAAGGGAGGAAATGGTAAAGATTAGAGTGGAAATCAATGTCATAGACAAGAGAAAAACAATGCAAAATATAAAACCAAAAAGTTCTATGAAAAGAAAAAAATCAGCAAATCTTTAGCTACACAGATTTTTAAAAAACAAAGAAAACTTCAATCACTGAAATTAAGAAGCCATCACTACTGATCTTAGAGAAATGGAAAGCATTCTTTTTTTAGGAGAGACAGGGTTCCACCATGCTACTTATTGTCCATGTTCACAGAAAATTATTTAAAATTTTTCAGTTCAAAAAGATTTTGTTGATTTCTATGATGGGCAGATCAACAAAAAAGCTTTCAAGAAGAAAAATATTTTGTCTTAGTATACAATTCCAGTAACTTCAATCTCCACCAAACCTTCAGGCTTATGGGTGGTGATAACTCTGCTGAGACTAGTTCCAAGTTCATGAGTTAACACGGGAGGTCTCCCAATACCACCCATATTTTATAATTAAAATTTGGTAAATATGCTATCCTTAAATCCTAATGGATTATGCCTTAGGTTTCAAATTTGGGATTCTGATTTAGATGATATGAAACTGGCACTATGTGCAAGACTAATACTTTTTCAGTATTCATTAATAATAAATAAAATAGACAGATAAAAACAAAATAAATAATAAAATAGACAAAAAAACAAAGTAGTATGAACAAATATATGTCAATAATTAGATAACTTAGATGAAATGGAGAAATTCACAAATAGACACAAACTACTAAACCTTACTTTAAAAGAAATATAGACTCTGAATAGATGCACAAGTAGTAAACCAATTATATTAGTAATTTGAAAGCTCCTGTACAAATAAAACAAGGTCTAGATAGCTTCACTGGTGAAATTTTATAATCATTTAAAGATAAATTAATATCATTTGTTCACAAACTCTTCCAAAAATATGGAAGAGAAGCAGCCAGTCTCAACTCACTCTACGAAACCACTATTACCCTGACATCAAAATCAGATAAGGCCATAACGAAACGTCTAAAAATCTATCTTATAAACACTAATGCAAAAATTCTTAAGTTGCAAAATACTACACGCCAAATCCAGTAACATGTAAAAAGAATTATTCACCCTGGAAAAGTGGGATTTATTCCAGGAAAAAAGAGTTGATGGCCGGGGGCAGTGGCTCATACCTGTAATCCCAGCACTTTGGGAGGCTAAGGCGGGTGGATCACCTGAGGTCAGGAGTTCTAGACCAGCCTGGCCAACATGGTGAAACCCTGTCTCTACTAAAAATACAAAAATTAGCCGGGTGCGGTGGCAGGCGCCTGTAATCCCAGCTACTCAAGAGGCTGAGGCAGGAGAATCACTTGAACTCGGGAGGCGGAGGTTGCAGTGAAACGAGATCACACCACTGCACTCTAGCCTGGGCAACAGAGCTAGAGTGCACAAGCACTCCTGTGGCCGCCACCACTAGGACTGTGTTGGGTTGGATCTGAAGCCAGCACAGCACTGAGTCTTGCCCAAGACCTGCTGTAACCACTCCTTGGCTACAGCTCAAAAAAAAAAAAAGTTGATGTAGCATATTGAATCAAACAGTAAAATAAATAATATTAATACAATAAGAGACATAATCTGGTAGGAACATAAAGTATAGTGGCTTTGGAAAACACTATTCTAAATTCTCAAAAAGTCAAACCTAGAGTTATTCATTATTTCCACTTATAGGTAATTGCCCTTGCTGGCTTCAGATAAGACTCAGCACATTCCCAGCTGTGATGGCTATGGGGTGAGACTCCTTCTGCTTGAGAAAAGCAGAGGGAAAAGTAAAGGGGCCTTTGTCTTGTACCTTAGGTACCAGCTCAGCCACAGGCGGGTAGAGCACCAAGCAGGCTCTTGGGGTCCCCAGTTCCATGACTTGGCTCCTGGATGGCATTTCTGGACCTTCTCTGGGCCAGAGGGGAACCCGCTGCCCTGAAAACTGAGTCCCAGGTCAGGCAGCATTCACCACAAGCTGACTGAACAGCCCTTGGACCTTAAGGGAATATTAGTCATAGTCTGGCAGTATACCCTATTGACCTGTGGTGTCAGTGGCCATGGGGTGAGGATCCTCTGCCTTTGGAAGTAGGAAAGAAGAGTGGGAAGGACTAAGTATTGTTGAGTGCCAGCTCAGCTGCAGTATAATAGAACATCAGGTAGATTTCCAAGGTTTTTGAATCTAGTCCCTAGCTTCAGGATGGCATCTCTGAACATGCCTGGGGCCTGGGAGAACTTGCCACACTAAAGGGAGGGACACAAGCTTGGCTGGCTTTGCCACCTGCCAATGGTAGAGCCGCAGGACCTTGCGTGAACATAGGCTGTAGCCAGGGAGTGCTTACAGCAGGTCTTGGGCAAGAGTCAGTGCTGTGCTGGCTTCAGATCCAACCCAACACAGTCCTAGTCTTGGCAACCAGAGGAGTACTTGTGCCACTCCACCCCCAGCTCCAGGTTGCTCAGAACAGACAGAGAGACTCCATTCACGTGGGAGAAAGTAAGGGAAGAGAGTAAGAGTCTCTGCCTCATAATCCAGATATTTCTTCTGGATCTTGTCCAAGACCATCAAGGAGGTGACTCTATGAGTTTGCAAGAACCACACACAGTATTACTAGGCTTGGGATTCTCTCCTAAAGCAGATACAGCTTAGATCACAACACCCACATTCTTTCAAATATCTGGAAAGCCTTCCCAAGAAAGAGGGTTGCACAAAAGCCCAGACTGAGAAGACAACAATAAATACCTAATTCTTTAATACCTGGGCACAGATAAACATCTGCAAGTGTCACGACCATCCAGGAAAACATAATGTTCACCAAATGAACTAAATAAAGCACCAGGGACCAATCCTGGAGAAATAGAGATATGTATCCATTCAGATAGAGAATTCAAAATAGCGGTTTTGGGGAAAGTCAAAGAAATTCAACATAACACAGAGAAGAAATTCAGAATTCAATCAGATAAATTTAACAGAGATTGAAATAATTAAAAATAAGCTGAAATTCTGAAGCTGAAAAAATGCAATGGGCATATTGAAGAATATCAGAGTCTTTTCTTTTTTCTTTTTTCTTTTTTTCAGATAGAGTCTCTCTCTGTCACCCAGGCTGGAGTGCAATGACACGATCTCAGCTCACTGCAACCTCTGCCTCCTGGGTTCAAGTGATTCTCCTGCCTCAGCTTCCTGAGTAGCTGGGATTACAGGTGCCTGCCACCACACCCAGCTAATTTTTTTGTATTTTTAGTAGAGACAGGGTTTCACCATGTTGGCCAGGCTGGCCTTGAACTCCTAACCTAAGGTGATCCACCCACCTCGGCCTCCCAAAGTGCTGGGATTACAGGTGTGAGCTACCACACCTGGCCACATCAGAGTCTTTTAATAGCAGAATTCATCAAGAAGAAGGAAGAATTAGTCAGCTTGAAGGCAGGCTATTTGAAAATACACAGAGAGGAGAAAATAATAAAGAATAAAAAGCAATGAAGCATGCCTACAAGATCTAGAAATAGCCTCAAAAGGGCAAATCTAAGAGTTATTGGCCTTCAAGAGGAGGTAGAGAAAGAGATAGAGGTGGAAAGTTAATGCTAAGAAATAACAACAGACATTCCCAAACTTAGAGAAAGATATCAATGTCCAAGAACAAGAACATTATAGAACACTAAGATTTAACACAAAGACCACCTTAAGACACTTAATAATCAAACTTCCAAAGGTCAAGGATAAAGAAAGGATCCCAAAAGCAACAAGAGAAAAGAAACGAGTAACATGCAATGGAGCTCCAATATGTCTGGTAGCAGACTTTTGGTGAAACTTTACAAATCAGGAGAGAGGAAAGTGCTGATGGGGAGAAAAAAAACTTTTAACATAGAATAGTACATCTGGCAAAAATATCCTTCAAACATGAAAGAGAAATATTTCCCAGACTAAAAAAGCTGAGGGATTTCATCAACACCAGACCTGTCCTATAAGAAATGCTTTAGGGAGTACTTCAATCAGAAAGAAAAGGATGTTAAAGAGCAACAAGAAATCATCTGCAGGTGTAAAACTTACCGGTAATAGTAGGTACACAGAAAAAAAAAAAGAATTTATAGCACTGTGATTGTAATGTATCAACTACTCTTAAGTAGAAAGATTAAATGATGTATCAATCAAACATAACTACTACAACATATCTTCAAGACATAGACAAGTACAATAAGATATGAAAAGAAACAATAAAAGGTTAAAACACAAAGGGATGAAGTTAAGGCATAGAATATAAGCTTTCTTTTTGCTTGCTTGCTTGCTTGCTTGTGCAAACAGTGTTAAGTTGTTATCAGCTTAAAATAATAGATTATAAAATAAGATTTGCAAGCCTCATAGTAACCTCAAACCAAAAACCATATAATTAATGCACACGAAATATAAAGTGAGAAACTAAATCCTATCACCAGAGAAAAATTACCTTCACTAAAAGGAAACCCTACCCAACCTGTGTATGCCAAAATCCACGCATCCTCAACCTGCAAAGACAAAAAGTTGGTCCTCCATATTATATGTAGATTTCACATCCTGCAAATGCTGTAATTTCTTTCTTGCTTGCTTGCTTGCATGCATGCTTTCAGAGCATGCATGCAGGCTCTCACTCTGTTGTCCTGGCTGGAGTGCAGTGGCGTGATCTCAGCTCACTATAGCCTTGAACTACTGGGGCTCAAGCCATCCTCTATCCTCAACCTTCGGAGTAGCAAGGACTACACCATACACCCAGCTAATTTTTTATATTTTGTAGAGACAGTGTCTCACTATGTTGTCCAGGCTGGGCTCAAATAACTGGACTCATGGGATCCTTCCACTATGCAAAGTGCTGGGATTACAGGCATAAGTCATCATGGCCATCCCTAATGCTGTATTTTTAATCTCCGTTTGGTTAAAAATAAATCCGGTGTATAAGTGGGCCTGTGCAATTCAAACCCGGGTTGTTCAAGGATCAAATGCATATAAATTGTATCTCAATAAATCTGTTACATAAAGTCTCCCCCTTTTTGTCATTTGTCTTAAACACAATGTAGAACATTTATACTGTTCATATGACCATTTTGCTTATTCACCTTTCTCTCTCATAGGTGTTAGGGTAGTTTTTCAGAAAGTTAAATCACTTAAATTTGAGATTTTATATTTAACAGTAAGAGTAGGATTGATGTGTTCCTGCTTATAAATCCGTTCTCTATGCAAAAACAGCAGTGTACAATTCATACATGTAACAGAATGCCAAAAAAGTATGTTTCCTCCTTAATCATACTTTCATGCAGCTGAAGTCTCATAGTTGAAACACATACATGACAAGGGCTCCAACAATTTAAAGATAGCATTAGATTTCTAAAGGAGTTACTAGGATTAAAAAAAAAAAGTTCAGAAACCATCTCTTTATTCCTCTCCTTACATAAAAGAAGGGTAGAGGTTCAGGGGATGCTTTGAATGAATTCAAAGGATGAGAGGGCACTGTGTCATCTAGTCTCAACAGAAACCTGATCTTTCCTCTGTCCAGTTTAATACATACAGGTATATAATATCTTAAAAGTTTTAAATATTGTCATTTTATACAGTGTTTTAATTTTATTGTTTTAAATTTTCACAACTTAGATTTAATTGAGGTAAAGAATTTTTTCTTGAATTGATTATGCAAAAAGTGCAATTTCCATTGATGGCAGTTAGACAATGTGTCCTAATTCAGTTTCTTAGTGTTGAATATAAATTTTAAATAAAGAAAACATTTCATGCAGTATTATAGAGGAAGTAGCAGTTGGTAGAGTAGGTACTCCCTAAATCCCTTTCCATATCTATTATTCTATTACATATTTATTTTCAAAGCATTTATTCTAGCAACTTTGTTTTTGTCTATTATTTTTTATTTTGTTTTTGTCTATTTTATTTATTTATTATTAATGAATACTGAAAAAGTATTAGTCTCTCACATAGTTCCAGTTTCATACCATGTAAATCAGAATCCCAAATTTGAAACCTAAGGCATAATCCATTAGGATTTAAGGATAGCATATTTACCAAATTTTAATTATAAAAGTATGGGTGGTATTGGGAGACCTTCCGTGTTAACTCATGAACTGGAAACTAGTCTCAGCAGAGTTATCACCACCCATAAGCCTGAAGGTTTGGTGGAGATTGACGTTATTGGAATTGTATACTAAGACAAAATATTTTTATTCTTGAAAGCTTTTTGTTGATCTGCCCATCATAGAAATCAACAAAATCTTTTTGAACTGAAAAATTTTAAATAATTTTCTGTGAACACGGGCAATAAATATTTTGTTCTGTATCAGTGTAAAATTAAAACAATTTAAAAGTACTTCTACAATGGTATAAAGTTAAGTAACAATTATTCCTTTTTTTATATATTTTAAAACTGAGAACATTTATATGTATGGTTGGGTTAGATGGCATTTGACAATACAGTGTCACTCAGTTCTCTAAAGTTCTTCTGAGTTATAATTACATATTGCATAAAGATATATCATCAAAAAGATTTTAATCAGCTGATAACTCAATTAGGTGCTCTCCAACTACTCAATTTGCTGAAAGCAAAGTATTGAAAATTATAGGTCTTGAAGAAATGTTTGTGACACAGTCATAAATCATTTTTGTCAGTTTCTAGAAATTAATACATTGTGGATTAAGCGAGACTTATCAAAGAAGTATAATTTTTCACTTAGAGAAACCTTATAAATGGAACTGAAACTAGGTGAATTTGGGACCAAAATAACTGTTTGATATTAGAAATATCATAGTTTCTGCCCAGTTTTAATTTTGTAAGTAAACTAAAATTGTTTAAAACAGATGTAACAAGAAGTGACAAATGTGACACCTAATAATAATTACATATATGTTAATAATTTTAATTCACAGTTGAAAATAATATTTGCAATAAAAAATAAAACCTTATATAAGCTAATCCTAAATAGATGCAGTTGCTTTCTAAATTTCTGGACTATAAATTCCAGGTGGAATATTAGAAATATTCTGATACTATAGATGCTTTTATGCATATATTCTGCTTTTAGGACGGAAACTTATTTTGTGTAAATTAATAGCAGAGAGCAAATAAGGCTTTGAGTCCTTAGTGTGGGGCTTACTAAAGGTGTATTAATGGTTGCTGTTATTTATAGTAATATCTTTAAAATAGTCTCACTAACCAAGGAAGGGCTTGGGAAGCATAAAGAAAGAAATTGGCAAATGTTTAAAGAGACTAGTATACTTGCATCCACGTAAGCATGAATATGAATTTATAACCTCCAAGGCAATGCAATGCACTACAATACAAATTAGATAAGGCTTGCCTTTGTTTTGTATATTGCTAAAAGCATGAGGTGAAAAGAGTGATAAGGGAGAGCTAGCCTGAGACATTTCCAAAATGAGCACTCTGGAACATCTCAATTTTAAGAAAAGCTACATATTGAAATTGAAGATTTGTAAATTGAAAATGTTGAAACAATCAATGCTTATATGCCCCTTACAACACGTTAGTGTTTCCCTAAGGGCTAACATCCCAATGTTTGAAGACAACTGCTGAAGATATATCTTTATTCAGTAAAGGAGCTATACGTAAGTTATGCTCAACAATATGAATACACATGTGTACATAGCCCCATGTTGGTATTAGTAGTGTTCAAATTCATAGACCCTAAAAGATGACATGTCCTCTTTCTGATTTTTGTATAATTAGTTAAATATTTTAATATTTTATCAATATTTATTTACATATAAATAAATGTAAAAGATAATCTTGTCTATTTTCTCCTGTTCTTTCTCAGCTTGACATGCACTGATCTTAACTAAGATTTGTCTGTAACACTAAGTCTGATAGTCTGCAAACTACATTGCCCATTCTCACCTTACAGCTAGTTACCAGACTTTGCCAGTAGGAAAAAACACAGTAGACCAGAAAATAGGACGAGAAGAAAAGCTAGTTTCTCCTTCCTTTTCTTGCTTCTAGAGGCACCTATAAAAGTAGTTATCTCCTTCTGTGTTCCCAATTTCAACCAGAACTTCCTGTCTGGTGGATCATATATGGAGCTCTACTATGATTGAAGGTGGGCCCTTCCTTTCCAATTCTAGGACTAACTGGGCAGAACCCCAGCAGCGCAGAACCAAATGTCTGGGGTCCTACTAACACCATCTCCTTTCTTTACTCACCTTTCCCAGTTCTAAGAATGGCAGTGGCTTCCTGAAGTTACTAATCTCTAGATAGCTCTCTTGTTTATTTCTTCTCCTCCAAAACTCTTTTTCCCCCTTATTTCCTTCCAATGTCTTTACATAACTAATTCTCTTTAGTAAATAAAAAAATAGGAGCTTTATTTTATTATTTTCTCTAACTGAATCCTGTATGTTAACGGAATGAATAGAAAATTGAATAGCAAACACAAGTCTATATAAGTAAGGAAAATGGTAGGCAGAACAGAACCTCTACATCATAGTTTACCTTAAGCTTCACTAAGAATTTAAAACTTACCATTCTGGGAAAGATAATGTCCAAAGTCATGACTGAGCCCTGGAAAATGTAGAGTCCACCACCTATAGGACGGAAACCTGAAAACTGATGTACCATCTTCTTATAAGCTACTTATGTATGATTGAGTGGTCACTCTCTTTGGAACTTTTTAAAAAATTAAATAAATTATATTAAAATTATTATAGATTCACATAATTATAAGGCACAATACAGAGAGATCTCATGTATACTTTATCCAGTGATAATAGTGAAACTATAGTATAGTACCATAATGAGGATATGGACATTGATACAATGATACTATATTCTGATCTTGTTCAGATTTTGCCAGTTTTACTTGTTGTGTGTATCTGCACAGGTATTTAGTTCTATAAAATTTTATCACATGTATATGTTTATATGTTTAACAACATACTCATAATATAGAATATTTCCATCATCATAAGGACTCTTTATGCTGCCGTTTTTAAATGACACTCACTTTCCTCCCATGCCTATCTTCTCCTTTAACCTCTAGCAACCACTAATCTGTTCTCCATTTTCATAATTTTGCCATTTCAAGAATGTATTTAAATGGAATCATACAGTCATATAGAATCATATAGTAGATAGCTTTTCTGACTTAGTCTAATCCCCTGCGGTTCATTCAAGTGGGTGCACATAGCAATAGTACACTCCTTTTTATTGCTGAGTAGTATTCCATGCAGTGCAGGTATCACAATTTGTTTAACCGCTTACCTGTTAATGGGCCTCCAGTTTGTTTCTGAGTTTTGGCTCTTACAAATAAAGCTGCAATAAATATTCATGTAACTGCCAAACCACACACCAATCAAAATGGCTAAAATAAAATATAGAAAACACAATGTTGGAGAGAATGTAAAGAAACTGATCACTCATACATTGCCAATGAGACTGTAAAATGATACAGCCATTCTGGAAAACAGCTCAACAGTTTTTCTTTTTAACTTTTAAAAACTATACTTTAAGCGACTTTAGGTTGATGCCAACCACAGTCCCTCTTATATTATGGACTCACAGTCTTGCCATTCTTTCTGTTCTCCACAGTCCAACAGAGTAAGTGATGTCCTGTGAGCCAACCTCTAACACATGTTTTCAACAATACTGACATGATAGAGAGGAAATTGCTTGCAATGTGGATATACATTAACAAAGCAGTTTTCACAGATGTCTTTGAGAAATCTTTGTACATTACTGTAGCCATTGTAAATACACAACAGAAGAAAATGTTAAACCTTGTAAAACATGGGCTATTCATTATAAAATGCTTTTGTGGCATAATGTTAGTGTGTATTTGAAAATGTTTTTAGGCCACAGAAGGAAAATGCTTTGCATCTGATGAAACAGAGAAGGTTATTAATGGAGAATGAGGAATACAGAAAACAACAGCTTAAGGAAAAGCAATGCAAAATGCAAAATTAGTTTAAATGCTTTAAACTAATTTTGTCTGCCTCCTTCAACATGAATACTGTAGCAAAAATACAGTTAGCTAAAAGCAAACTCCACACTAAACATATTAAAAATATAACCTATAAAATAAATTTTTAAAAATCAAAATCTTATCATGTAAAAATTTATGAATTTATATAAAGAGGCTTGTTGCCACAATTATTATTTTTTTAATTTACACTTTAATGGACGGTGAGAACATATAAACTGAGTCACTTATCCTAATGAAAGATGTAAAGATAAATGACTTCAAAAGGTAAAAATAAGCACATAAGTAAATGCATGTCATAAGAGGCAAGGATTAATTCAATTTAAAATAAATTTTGAGAAACATTTGAAAGTCTAAGGTTTCAACTGGTGGAAAGAAAATTGAAACATATACATATTTTTTCTTATTGCAAAATACATAGCCTTCCTAGAAAAATTTAACACTGGATATAAGAAAAAGCTAACATCACATTTCTGACAAAAATATTAAGAATTTACAAGTTTTGTCCCATGCTCTTTAAATAATGTCATAGTATAGAGTTATTAATATTTCCCTAGATCAATATATAAAACAATATTGAATAGCTACATAAAATGTCATTGATAGACTACATTCTATTTTGTATTTTATTTTACTTTATTTTATTTTATTATTATTTTCCCTTTACTTGTTCTAAAAAAAATTGGATACATGTGCAGAACTTGCAGGTTTGTTACATATGTATACATGTGCCATGGTGGTTTGCTGCACTCTAAGTTCCCTCTCCTCACCTCCCATCCCCCAACAGGCCCTGCTGTGTGTTGTTCCCCTCTCTGTGTCCATGTGTTCTCAGTGTTCAACTCCCACTTGCCAGTGAGAACATGCGGTTTTTGGTTTTCTGTTCCTGTGTTAGTTTGCTCAGGATGATGGCTTCCAGCTTCATCCATGTCCCTGCAAAGAAAATGAACTCAGCCTTTTTACAGCTGCATAGTATTCCATGGTGTATAAGTACCACATTTTCTCTATCCAGTCTATCACTGATGGGCATTTGGGTTGGTTCCATGTCTTTGCTATTGTAAATAGTGCTGCATTAAACATATGTGTGCATGTGTCTTTAGAGTAGAATAATTTATATTCCTTTGGGTATATACCCAGTAATGGGATTGCTTGGTCAAATGGTATTTCTGGTTCTAGATCCTTGAGGAATTGCCATACTGTCTTCCACAATGGTTGAACTAGTTAACATTCCCACCAACAGTGTAAAATTATTCCTAAAATTAAATAAGCCTGAATTCATACTTTATTGTATTTAAGATATTTTGAAACCATATGACCATCTAAGTAGATGCAGAAAAATCACTCAATAAAACCCAACACCCTTTCATGATAAAAACCCTCAACCAACAAGCCACAGATGGAATGTACCTCAAAATAATAAGAGACACATATGAAAAACCAAGAGCCAACATCATACTGAATGAAGAAAAGTTGAAAATATTTCCCCTAAGAACTGTAACAAGACAAGGATGCCCACTTTCACTACTCCAATTCAACATAATACTAGAAGTCCTAGCCAGAGGAATCAGGTAAGAGAAAAAAAAAATGAAAGGCATCCAAATTGGAAAAGAAGAAACCAAATTATCTGCTGACAACATGATTATATATCTAGAAAACCCTAAAAACTAATCTAGAAGACTGCTAGACCTCGTTAGTGACTTTGGTAAAGTCTCAGGATACAAAATCAACATACAAAAATCAGTAGCATTTCTATACACCAGTAAAGTTCAAGCATAGAACCAAATTAATAACTCCATTTACAATAGCCACAAAAAAATACCTAGAATACATTTAACCAAAGAGGTGAATGATCTCTACAAGGAGAATTACAAAACACTGATGAAAGAAATTGTAGACAACACCAGTAAATGGAAAAATATCCCACGCTCATGGATAAAAAGAATAGATTATCATTAAAATGAACATATTAACCAAAGCAATCTACAGATTCAAAGCAATTCCTATCAAACTACCAATGTCATTTTTCACAGAATTAGAAAAAACAATCTTAAAGTTTCTATGGAAGCCCCCTCACCCAAAAGCCTGAATAGCCAAAGCAATAAAAAACTAAAAAAACAAACAAACAAACGAAAATCTGGAGACATCATATTGCTTGGCTTCAAATTATACTACAACACTATAATAGCTGAAATAACATGGAACTGGTACAAAAATAGACATATAGATCAGCAAAACAGAATAGAGAACCCAGAAATAAAGCCACATACTTTCAACGAACTGATTTTTTAACAAGTTAACAAAAATAAACAGTGGAAAAACGACACTCTATTCAATAATTGGTGCTGGAAAAACTAGCTAGCCATATGCAGAAGAATGAAACTGGACTTCTGTCTCTCACCATATAAAAATTAACTCAAGATGGATTACACACCTAAATGTAAGACCTAGAACTACAAAAATCCTCAAAGAAAACCTGGGATAAACTCTGGACATTAGCCTATATAAAAAACATATGACAAAGACCCCAAAAGCAGTTGCAACGAAAACAAAAATAGACAAATAGGACTTAAACTAAAAAGCTTCTACACATGACAGGAAATAACCAACAGAATAAACAGATAACCTACAGAATGGTGGAATATATTTACAAATATGTCTCCAACAAAACATTAATATCCAGAATCTACAAGATGCTCAAACAAGTCAACAAGAAAAAAAAACTCCATTATAAATTGGCAGATTAGAAAAACATTGCAGTGGCCAGATTTTAAACACACACACACACACACACACACACACACACACACACACACCACACACCATACATATTTGGCGATTTGTTTAATTATTGGTTGGGAAAAATTTCCAGCAGAAATAAAGGGCGATATCATTTTTTCATAATTAAAATTTTAAGATATATTGCTAATTTCTTTACGGAAATGTTGTAGTTTACATTCCAAGTGGAAGCATATATTCCTGCTAGTTTATTCACATCCAAACAATCATTGAGTATTATCATTATTTACTAATCTACTAATGTGGTAGAAAAAATTATTTCAGTTTTCATCTCTTTCATATCATTGAGCTTAAAAAACTTTTTACATGATAATTGACCATTTTTATTTCTTTTTTAAAAAACTTCTTTAAATATCATTTCTTTGAAATGTCTTCATTAAGGTGTTTATATTTTCCAGTTTCTGAAGGTTTCTCATATACTAGTTCATGTATTTGGTAAATATTAATTATAATTAATTATTCTTAAAAGTCAATTTTTAATTTTGTTTTTTATGCTTTACTTATTGCATTATCCAACTATAAAAAGTAGAATTAGAGACTCTGAACAATATCTTCCCCTTAGGACAATTATAAGAAATTGACTTAATATAAAATGCAAAAGTCATCTTAAAATATTTTATTATTCTTTCTCCTTATCTATAAATATTGGTAGCTTACTGATGTGAGATAAACAGAAATCAGGACTTTTGAATTACACAGGTGTTATTTTGAATCACTAATATAACATTTCTTAGTTACGTGAATTTGGACAAATGTTTTAGACTCTAGCTAATAGGTTTAGAATGATATTTGACACATAAGGTAAGCGTAAAGATTGGCAAATTGGATGAAAAAGCAGACTTTCGAATATAATATTCAATTTCTAGAAGATTCTACATTTCCTTTACTTGTATAGGATTTCTGTCAACAATTTACTAACACCAAAATTATTAAGCACCTATTTTGTGCAAGTCACTGGTAAAAGAAGTTATTCCACTAACGAATTTAACCTTAAATATTAAAGGCGACAGTGGTGAGGAGGAAAGAAAGGTAATAAGTGTACTAATTAATTCATTTTTCAATGACAGCTCATGTACTGAGAGGTATTGAGAAGTATAACAAAAATAAATGGGTAATAATTTTTTAAAAAATTAACAAAGCCATCAGGAAATTTGAGACTATGTTAAATGACCACACCTAAAATTAATTGGTGTTCCCGAGGAAGAAAAAAAATCTAAAAGTTTGGAAAACATATTTGTGGAAATAATCATGGAAAACTTCCCTGGCCTGGCTAGAGATCTAGACATCTGTCAATGAGAAGAGTCAAACCCTTACATCCAAATACAAGAAGCTCAAAGTACACCTGGGATATTCATTGCAAAAAGATCATCACCTAGGCACATAGTCACCAGGTTATCCAAAGTCAAGACAAAGGAAAGAGTCTTAAGAGCTGTGAGCCAAAAGCATCAAGCAACCTATTAAGGAAAACCTATCAGATTAACAGCAGATTTCTCAGCAAAAACCCTACAAGCTAGAAAGGATTGGTGTCCTATATTTAGCATCCTTAAATAAAACAATTATCAACTTGGTATCCATTGAAACTAAAATTCATAAACGAAGGAAAGATACAGTCTTTTTCAGACATACACTGAGAGAATTTGCCACTACCAAGCCAGCACTATGAGAAATGCTAAAAGAAGCTCTAAATCTTGAAATAAATACTCAAAATACACCAAAATAGAATCTCCTTAAAGCATAAGTCTCACAGGACCTATAAAACAATAACACAATGAATGAAACCAAGGTATGCAGGCAACAAATAGCACCATGAATAGAATAGTACCTCACATCTCAATACTAACGCTCAATGTAAATGCTCCACTTAAAAGATACAGAATGGCAGAATGGATAAGAATTCACCAACCAAGTATCTGCTGTATTCAGTAGACTCACCTGACACATAAAGACTCACAAAAACTTAAGCTAAAGGGGCGGAAGAAGATGTGGACACAAAAGCAAGCAGGAGTAGACAGAAAGTCAACAAAGAAACAAAGGACTTAAACTATCTCTAGAACAAATGGATTTAACGGGTATTTACAGAACATTCTACCCAACAACTGAAGAATATACATTCTATTCATCAGCACATGGAGCATCCTCCAAGATAGACCACGTGATAGGCCACAAAACAAGTCTCAACAAATTTAAGAAAATCTAAATTATAGCAAGTACTCTCTCAGACCGCAGTGGAATAAAATTGGAAATCAACTCTAAAAGGAATCCTCAAAACCATGCAAATACATGGAAGCTAAATAACCTGCTCCTGAATGATCATTGAGTGAACAATAAAATCTAAACCAAAATTTAAAACTTCTTTGAACTAAACAAAGAACTTATCAAAACTTACCATAACCTCTGGGATACAGCAAGGGTGCTGCTAAGAGGAAAGTTCATAGCATTAAACGCCTACATCCAAAAGTCTGAAAGAGTACAAATAGACAATCTAAGGTCACACCATAAAAAGCTAGAGAAACAATAACTAACCAAATCCAAACCCAGCAGAAGAAAATAAATAATCAAGATCAGAGCAGAACTAAATTAAATTGAAACAAAAAATACAAAAGATAATTGAAACAAAAAATACAAAAGATAATTGAAACAAAAAATACAAAAGATAATTGAAACAAAGAGCTGATTCTTAGAAAAGACACATAAAATCGATAGACCATTAGGGAAATTAACCAAGAAAAGCAGAGAGAAAATTTAAATAGCTCAATTAGAAACAAAATGGGAGATATTATGACTGATACCACAGAAATACAAAAGATAATTCAAGGTTACTATGAACAACTTTACACACATAAACTAGAAAACCTAAAGGAGATGAGTAAATTCCTGGAAATATACAACCCTCCTAGATTAAACTGGGGAGAAGTAGAAACTCTGAACGACCAATAATAACAAGCAGTGAGATTGAAATGGTAACTAAAAAGTTACCACCAAAAAAAGTCCAGTACCAGACAAATTAACAGCTGAATTCTATCAGACATTTGAAGAAGAATTGGTACCAATCCTATTGACACTATTCCAAAAGATAGAGAAAGAGGGAATCCTCCCTAAATCATTCTATGAAGCCAGCAACACCCTAATACCAAAACCAGGAAGGGAAATAACAACAAAGAAAACTACAGATCAATATCCCTGATGAACCTAGATGCAAAAATCCTCAACAAAATACTAGCTAACTGAATCCAACAGCATATTTAAAAGATAGTCAACAAAGAACAAGTAGGCTTCATATCAGGAATGCAGGGCTGATTTAACATATGCAAGTCAATAAATGTGACACACCACATAAACAGAATTAAAAATGAAAATCACATGATCATCTCAATAGACACAGAAAAAGAATTTGACAAAATCCAACATCCATTTATGATTAAAATCCTCAACAAAATTGGCATAGAAGCAAAATACCTTAAGGTAATAAAAGCCATATATGACAAACCCACAGCCAACATTATACTGAATGGGAAAAAGTTGAAAACATTCCCACTGAGAACTAGAACAAGACAAGGATGCCCACTTTCACTTTTTCTGTTCAACATAGTAGGGGAACTTTTAGCCAGAGCAATCAGGAAGAGAAAGAAATAAAGGGCACCCAAATCAGTAACAAGGAAGTCAAACTGTCACTGTTCACCAATGATATTATTGTATACCTAGAAAACCCTAAAGACTCATCCAAAAACCTCCTAGAACTGGTAAATGAATTCAGCAAAGTTTAGGGATACAAAATTAATGTACACAAATCATTAGCCCTGCCATACACAAAGAGCAACCAAGATGAGAATCAAATCAAGAACTCAACCCCTTTTACAATAGCTACAGAAAAATTAAATACTTAGGAATATACTTAACCAACAAGGTAAAAGACCTCTACAAGGAAAACTATGAAACACCACTGAAGGAAATCATAGATGACACAAACTAATGGAAACACATCCCATGTTCACGGATGGGTAGAATCAATATTTTGAAAATGACCATGCTGCCAAAATCAATCTACAAATTCAATGCAATTCCTATCAAAATACCACCATCATTCTTCACAGAACTAGAAAACAACTGTAAAATTCATATGGAACCAAAAAAGAGCCTGCATAGCAAAAGCAAGAGTAAGCAAAGAGAACAAATCTGAAGGCATTATATTACCAAACTTCAAACTATACTCTAATGCCATAGTCACCAAAACAGCATGGTACTGGTATAAAAACAGGCATATAGACCAATGAAACAGAATAGAGAGCCCAGAAACAAAGCCAAATAGTTAGAGTCAACTGATCTTCAAGAAAGCAAACAACAACAGAAAGTGGGGAAAGACACCCCATTCAACAAATGGTTCTGGGATAATTGGCATGCCACATTTAGAAGAATGAAACTGGATCCTCATCTCTCACCTTATATGAAAATCATCTCAGGATGGATCAAAGGCTTAAATCTAAGACCTAAAACCGTAAAAATTCTAGAAGACAACATTGGAGAAAACCCTTCTACACATTGGCTGAGGCAAAGACTTCATGACCAAGAACCCAAAAGCAAACACAACAAAAACAAAGATAAACAGATGGGACTTAATTAAACTACAAAACTTCTGCACAGCAAGCGAAATAATCAGTAGAGTAAACAGACAACCCACAGAGTGGGAGAAAATCTTCGCAATCTATACATCCAACAAAGAACTAATATATCTGGAATCTACAAGGAACTCAAAGGCATCAGCAAGAAAAACCAAACAATTCTATCAGAAAGTGGGCTATGACATGAATAGACAAGTCTCAAAAGAAGATATAGAAATGGTCAACAAACATATGAAAAAACAGTCAACATCACTAATCATCAGGGAAATGCAAATCAAAATCACAATGTGATACCACCTTACTTCTTCAGGAATGGCCATAATAAAAAAAATAATAGATGTTGGCATGGATGCAGTTAAAAGGGAACACTTTTACACTGTTAGTAGGACTGTAAACTAGTATAATCACTATGAAAAACAGCGTGGAGATTCCTCAAAGAATTAAAAGCAGATCTACCATTTGATCCAGCAATCTCACTCCTAGGTATCTTCCCAGAGGACAAGAAGTCATTATATGAAAAATATATGAAAATATATGAAAAATATACTTTCATACACATGTGTATAGCAGCACAGTCTGCAATTTCAAAAATATGGAACCAGCCCAAATGACCATCAATTAGTGAGTGGATAAAGAACATGTATATATAGTATATATATACATGTATACAGTATATATATACATGTATATAGTATATACTATATATAGGATATACTATATACTATATATAGTATATACTATATATATTATATATACATATATGTGTATATAGTATATATAGTATATATACACATATGTATATAGTGTGTATATATAGCATATAGTGTGTGTGTATATATATATATCTATATCATGAAATACTACTCAACCATAAAAAGTATATGTATACTATATAGTATATATATACTATATATATACTATATATATTGTATATACTATATAGTATATACAATATAATATATAGTATAATATATATACAGTATAATATATACTATATACTATATATTATATTGTATATACTATATATAGTATATACTATATACATATAGTATATTATATATAATATATAATATACTATATATTATATAGTATATACTATATATAGTATATACTATATAATATATAGTATATAGTATATATACACATATATGTATATAGTGTGTATATATAGCATATAGTGTGTGTGTGTATATATATATCTATCTATATCATGAAATACTACTCAACCATAAAAAGTATATGTATACTATATACATATATACACTATATATAGAGTATATATATACTCTATATATAGTATATATATACTATATATTATATTGTATATACTATATAAAGTATATATAGTATATACAATATAATATATAGTATAATATATATACAGTATAATATATACTATATACTATATATGTATACTATATATAGTATATAGTATAGTATATATATGTATACTATATATAGTATATACAATATACATATATAGTATATAGTATATATACACATATATGCATATAGTGTGTATAGCATATAGTGTGTGTGTGTGTGTATATATATATATATCTATATCATGAAATACTACTCAACCATAAAAACGAACAAAATAATGGCATTTGCAGCAACCTGAATGGAATTGGAGAACACTATTCTAGGTGAAGCAACTCAGGAATGGAAAACCAAACATTGTGTGTTCTTACTTATAAGTGGGAGCTAAGCTATCAGGATGCAAAAGCATAAGAATGATACAATGGACTTTGTGGACTTGGGGGAAAGGGTGGGGCCAGTGAGGGATAAAATACTACACATTGGGTACAATGTACACTGCTTGGGTAATGGGTGCACCAATATCTCAGAAATCACCACTAAAGAATATATTCGTGTAACTAAACACCACCAGTTCCCCAAAAACCTATTGAAATTAAAAAGTATATATTTGCTGACAATAATATAATCTAAAATAAAAAAGTGACTGATATTGTCATATAAATAAATGAAAAATACATGGGTAATATATGGAGACTACTTGGAGTGGAGAGAGCTCTAAATAGAGTAGTAAAGTTCTCTCTCAGTGACGCTCCACTTTCGATAAGAAAGAGAAACGGTATGAAAAGACTAAGCAACCTCAGCCCAAGCAAACAGATGACCTGGTGACCTAAGTCCTGAAACCATAAAAATAACCAAAAAAAAATGAGTTCTTAAAAAAAAAAAAAGAAAGAAAATAACTTGACTGGAAAAAGTGAACAAACAAAATTTAATGGGAATGAGGATTGACTTTTTGCAATCTAAATATCAACAATCAGGGGTGGATGGGTAAATCTTGGTTCATTGCATATGATGAAATATCATGCAGTCATTAAAAGTAATGGCATACCATCAATGATAGACTGGATAAAAAAATGTGGTACATATACACCATGGAATACTATGCAGCTATAAAAAGGAACAAGATCATGTTCTTTGCAGGGACACAGATGGAGTTTGGAAATCATTATTCCTAGCAAACTAACACAGGAACAGAAAACCAAATGCCACATGTTCTCACTTATAAGTGGGAGCTAAATCTAAATTATGAGAACATATGGACACATGGTGGGGAACAACACACACTGTTGGCTGTCAGAGGGTGGAGGGTTGGAGGAGGGAGAGGATCAGGAAGAATAGCTAGTGGATGCTGGGCTTAACACCTGGGTGATGGGATGATCTGTGCAGCAAACCACCATGGCAAACATTTACCTATGTAATAAACCTGCGCATCCTGCACATGTAACTCTAAACTTAAAATAAACATTGGAAAAAATAATAATAAGTGAAAATAGATGTAGGGTATATAGGAGCTCTGTATTATCTCTTCAATTTTTCTATTAAGTCTAGAAATATTTTTAAATTAAATTTTAAAAAATGGCATAGAATATTGAATAACATGGAAAATATTTATGACAATTTTGAGTAAAAGGAGAAGTAAAAAATTTTAAAACATTATAATCTCAACTATGAGAAAATATAAAGACTAAAAATATAAAATGCTATTGAATGTTTTTAAAAAAGAAAATTCAAATGGAATCTCATTGAAAATTGAATTACAGCAATAATAAATGACTCGAGATACTTATACTGAATGCTGAGAAAAATAACAATTTGAAACCAGTAAGAGATAACATAAAAGAAGTGGAGAATAAGACTATCAAATTTTAGAATAATTAACCCTAAAATTTTTTAAAGTTCATAAAATATATAAAAGAAAAAGGAAATACATAATAGTATATTATTAAAAGAGAACTGACCCTGTAATTCAAGAATATAATTTGTTTCAGGAAAAAAATTGAGAATCGTGAACAAGAAAATATATCCTACTTAGGTTATTGAAATGCAAATACTAACATAAGATGCAAATAGTGAGGAAAAAATGGTCATTTACTGAGAGAACCAAGTCAAGCTAGCATGAGTTCTCCACCAACATTCAGTCCCAGAAAACAATTGTAAAATGTTACCATGCCCACAAAATTTGGAGGCAAAGAAGTATGACCCAGGCAAAGAATTGTGACCCAAAGAAGTGTGCCTTCCAAATTTGGAGGCAAAGAAGTGTGACTTCGTTATTTACATAATAAGTTATATATTTATAACTTTAATATATACATTCATTCAAAATGCCAAATGACTTATGGGAACTCATCAATAACTATAAACTTTCTCTATGTTAATAAAAGAGAATTCTAAAACCTGTAGAACCCTTTAAAATACCCCCAAAGGTAATAGAAAATGAAATGTTTTGAATAAAAAAAAATTACAGTAAAGTTTTCTTTTGCGTATGCTTTTTTGACTTATGTTCTCAAGCATTCCAAAAAATAAAGTAAAATAAGGCTAACTGCACATATTAGTACTTCATGAGGAAAAAATACTTTATGAGAAAATTTTCAAAAAATCAGGATTCAAGACATTAGTAAATCAATAGAAGGTTAGCATTTAGTTTATGTGAATATAGAAGTAAGGCTAAACAACCAAGAAAGTATGTTTACAAAACAGAATTTATATGTTATAAATCTTGGCAATGAAAGGATAATGACTTACTTATAATAATATTTTAAAATATATAAAAATAATATTTTGAATGACAGTTTAGAGAAGGTGAAAGGTAACATAATTGCTAATTTCTTGATATTTTATAAAAGATAGATAATAGATATTCTCTAAAGTCAAACCATATGATTAAAATAATAATGTTCTAAAAAATCATTTTTTCTTCATTACCTTTAGAACATCATTTAATGACACATTTCTTTTAGGTGACATCTAAGTTTAGTGATTAGTTTTACTTCAGCAATTTGTTCCTCTCAATTGGAGTAAAGCTAAACTTATTATACTTTTCCTAACTTACCTTTATCTGTCTTCCTGTCTACTTATCTGCATACATATACGCCTCAAATAATATTTGCCTCATAATATTGATGGCCATTTCTGGTTCAAAGGTTTGGGTTGATGTGATGCTTTCATTTTAATATCATCTGAAATGATACAAAAAACAAAATTTTTTAAAGTATTAAGCCCTAGTTTAAATTCATATTATGCATTAAATTATCAATGTATTTGTTCTTATTTCTAATGGTATCAGACTGATTAGGATAGCCAGAAAGATCAGCAGCCAGTATCTCCAGCTTCATTCTTCCCGTGTCAGAATGCCAGCAATTGTTCAAAGGTTAGCTAGGAGCAGCAGGGAGTCGTTCCAGTAATCTCTCCACACATCCAACATAACTATTAATGTGTCAGTGAGTTCCAGGAAATCTCCTTGCATATTTATTTTGCATGGGTACCAAAGGCATATCTTCTCTATCCTTCCTGACATTTCTTTCTTTGATTATAATTGGTAGATGAACATTAATAGTTGCATGTCTTTTGAGTCAAAAAAATCAATAATGTAGTTAGTGGCTGCATGAATGAGTGATATAAGGCACACTTTGGATTTGTACTGTGTTTTGGGCAAGAGGCAAGAAGTGTTTGTAACACATGTGCTACAAATCCCCAGCTAAGGAGCTGAGAGACAGGGTAGGATAAGGAAGCATTCTGGGCTTCTTAGACCCAGGAGTTCTTCATCTTGAATCCTAGATCTCTCACTTGTTGTGTAATCTTGGACCAGTTACTCAAAGTTTCTGAAATGTAATCCTAACATTTTTTAAATGTAGAGGAAAAAAAATAAACATTTAAAACTGAGATAGACTCTTGTGCATCAAACAACTTTTGTTTTGTTTGTACATTTAAAAGATTGCATTCCAACTTCATTAAGAACATCATGCTTCTAATTATCAGTATTTTAAAGATCAGAGCATATGATAGCACTTTATTATGTTAAATTTTAATGTCCACCTGAAAACTGTCATTTTGTCAGTTAGGAGACTGAATAGTTATAAGATGTAAAACTCCAAAGATCTATTTTTAAATAAGAACAATGATTTGTTGTGATAGGCCCTTTTCTGATAATAGGAATATAAAGCTATATTATCAGCTTACTGTATTATTTGAAACCACTAAATATTAATTAACATTGTGATAAAATAAATATTTCCTGTCTGCCTACAAATAAAAGTGCTGTAGATTTATATGCATGCTTGAATCCTAGTGCAGGATTACCGACTTCAAAATGCTAAAATAAGGAAATGTTATTAGCAAGATGTCAGAGTAAGCACTCTCTACCATCATTCCCCAGCAGAAGCATAGATTCTGGCAACTATCTATTGACAAGAGTACTTTTGTGGGAATCTGAGGGTACAGTGGAAAGCTTCCAACACACTGTTGAAACAAAAATTCTTGGAATAGCTACATTGAAGAGGGTAAAAAAAGTACCTTACCTGTGTCACCCCTTTCCAAGGTGGCACAGGTCAGTGCCAAGAGAGAACATTCCAGCCTGAAATTTCACCCACAGAGGAAAGTAACAGCATAGTGAATGATCACCAGTTCCCCAGCCTTGTGGAATGTTTCCCAGAAGAACCAATTCTTTCTTGCCTCATCCAGATTACTGAAGCGACCAATGCAACTGAGTGGCTGGGAGAGGCTATTCCACATTATAGGATTTCACTAAGGGGACACAAGATAGAAAAGAGCAGAAAGGTTATTTTAAAAAATAATGGCTGAAAACTTCCTAAATCTGCCAAAAGGTATAGTTATTCAGGTAAATGAAGCACAAAGGTCTCCAAGCAGGTCCAACCTAAAGCAGATTTTACCAAACGCATTATAATTAAATTGTCAAAAATCAGGAACTGAAGAGAATTTTGAAAGCAGCAAGGGAAAAGAGGCTCATTACATACAAGGAAATCTCTATCAATCAGGTGATCAAAATTTTTCCGAGAAACCTTGCAGGCAAGATGAGAATGGGATGATACATTGAAAATGCTGAAAGAAAAAGTGCCAGTCAAGAATACTATACCTGACAAATCTGTCCTTCAAAAATGAATGGAAGATAAAAACTTTCTCTGAAAAACAAAATCTGAGGTAGTTCATCACCACTAGACCTGCCTTATAAGAAATGCTAAGAGATATTCTTCAAGTTTAAATAAAAGGATGCTAAGTAGCAATATGAGAACATATAAAGGTATAAAACTCACAATAAACTTAAGTACATATTCAAATTTTGAATATTCTAATATGTAATGGTGCTAAGTAAATCATAGTGAACTTTAGAATAAAAGTTAGTAACTACAATTACAATAACTTGTTAATGGATATGCAATATTAAAAGATGCAAATTTTGACATCGATACATAAAATATGGGAAGAGGGTGAAGTAAAAGTGGAGACTTTTTTATTATGATTGAGGTTAAGATGTTACCAGCTTAAAATAGACTTTTATAACAGTAATATGTCTTATGTAAGCCTCACTATGGTCACAAAGAAGAATCCTGTGGTAGATACACAAAACATAAAAAGAAAGGAATAAAAGCATACCACTACAAAAGAAATTGTCAAATCACAAAGGAAGAAACAAGAGAAAGAGAGAAAAAAAAGACCCACCAAAAAGGCAGAAAACAATAAGACGGCAACAGTAAGTCTTTACCTATGAATAATTACTTTTATTGTAAATGAATTAAATTATCCAATTAAAAGACAAATGATCTGAATGTATGAAAAATAAAGATCCAACTACATGCTACCTGTGGGAGACACACTTTAGCTTTAAGGCACATATCAGCTGAAAGTGAAGAAATGGAAAAATGTAGGGTTTTTTTGTTTTGTTTTGTTTGTTTGTTTCATAAAAATGGTTACCTTTAGCTAGACTAAGAAAAAAAGGGAAAAGACTCAAATAAATGAAACATAAATGAAAGACATTAGAACTGATACCACACAAATACAAAAGACTATTATGAACAACTATATACCAACAAATTGGTTAAAGTAGAAATGGGTAAATTCTTAGCAAGATAAAACCTAGCAACACAAAATCAAAAGGAAATAGAGAATCTGAAAAGATTAATAATGAGTAAGGAGATTGAATCAGTAATCAAAAATTCCCCAACAAAGTAAATCTCAGGATCTATGGCTACACTGGTAAATTCTACCAAACATTTAAATAATTAATACCAATCTTTCTCAAATTCCTCTCTCTCTCTCTCTCTCTCCACACACACACATACATACACACAGGCACATACAATGGAATATTATTCAGCCTTAAGAAAGGAAATCCTGTCATTTTCAATAACACAGACGAACCTGAGAGACATTACACTAAGTGAAATAAGCCGGACACAGAAATACAAATACTGTGTGATTTCATTTATTATAAATAGATTCCACATGTAAATGAAATGTGGAAACGGCGAAACTTGTAGCAACAGAGAATAGAGGTGTGGTTAGCAGGGACTGTGGGGTGAGGAAAATGGAAAGATGTTGGTCTAAGAGAGCAAAATTTCAGTTATAAGTTCTGGAGACCTAGTGTACAACATGATAACGACGGTGCATTTTATGCTTGAAATTTTCAAAGAAAGATCTGAAGTTTGTCCTCTCTCTCACACACACAAATAGTAACTATGTGAGGTGATATATGTGTTAATTAGCCTGATGGTGGTAATCATTTCACACTATATACATATATCAAAACATCTTGTTGTACACCTAAATACAATCCCTATTTGTCAATATACCTCAATAAAATTGGAAAAAAATCAAATTGCCAAAAAAATATTTATATATCAAATATTTATATATATATCAAATTTCCAAAGTGTATATTTATATATCTCAATAAAATTGGAAAAAATCAAATTGCCAAAATAATAGCAACTCTTATGAAAATATTTGGAGATACAGGAAAATACTTGGAGATACAGGATTGGCATATGAGCTAATATTGTGAACAAGGAAGAAATGTCAGGTAGAAAACTGGAAATCTCATTTCCAAACCCTTTCATCTGGCCTAATTATAGCAGCTGTGGTAGAAGCTTGAGGACTACACAACAGCCAGAAATTCTGATTCTTTCCATTGTCTTCACCTTTCCCTGTGAGCTCCAAATTGGTGGCTGGAATAGAGCATCTGTAACTAATCTGCAATTATGCCAGGGGATCCAAAAAAACCCTAGAGGGTGATTTTTCCTAAGTCTGGACCTCCAGGTTTCAAGATCGATGAGACCAACTGCTCAGGACTTGGTGCAGGTTGCTTGGTAAGTCGCAGAGAATCCCCCAGATACAACAGTTTCCATAGCACCTGAAAGTACCCAGGGTTTACTCACAGCAATATACACAGTCACTTTGATCCTGGAACAGAATTTCTCTGAAACAGTTTGCAGAGTACCTGTCCTTTAGCACAGGTGATCAAAGACCGGTAGTGTTTTGGTCTTTGGTGATCTTAGTACCTTTAGCAGGAGCACTATATGATAATTTCAAAGCAAATGATCTATTAAATCATCTTTCAGGCTTATGAAGATTCTTATAATATTAAGAAAAATTAAGAAGACTGATTTGAGAGATGAGAAAAGCTTAAGTTCTGTGTTGCACAAGCTTCAGAATCCTACAAATTCCTGTGTTGTAAGATTACAAACACTAGGCTCTCTGAAAATAAAAATATAAGTAATGAAAGAAACAAGTCAAACAAAAATGGATGAAAATACACAATTTGGAGTCTGCATGACAAAGCCAGAGCCATCTTTTTGAAACAAAATGGCGGTATTCACCTGGTCAAAATACTTCAGCAACTTTCAGTCTTATTCAGAGTAACAAAATGTTCTATAGTAAATCAACTGACATGGTAAATTGGAAGGGTCACCAGGCTAAAAAACAGGATGATGTAGTTCTGGTAGTAACAGCCCCACTTGTTACCAGCAATATATCCATGGCTCTAATTTCATAGTTCTCAAGTTCATCATTGTGTAGATGTGGGAATTCGATCTGATTTTTCAAATAGAGAAAGTTATAATGTTTAGGGGATGTGGTCGAAATTAATATTTACTCAATTTGAGTTTCACTTATACTTAATTATTAGTTTTTGTATCTACCACTATCTCTCTATAATTATAATTAGACAGTCAATTAACAACTTCTTATCAGGACTGAGGACATTTAGATCAGATATGGAAAACAGTGTTCATTCCAAAAGAACACCAAGGCATCACAAAAGAATTATACAAAAGAGATTCCAAGAATAGCCTAACATAAAGTAAGCTGTTCTTGCCAAATGGCTTACACCAAAACCTTGGTATCTTTCCTAAATCCTTTCTTTTTTTCTCACATGCAGAACATCAGCATATCTTGTTGGCTGTGCTTTCACAATACATTCAGGCTCCAAACACTTCAAACTGCTTTCACCACTTCACCTTCAACTAAGTTCCCTCCTCTCTCCCGGCTTATTGTTGTCATTAGCATCCCTGCTCCTCCCGTTGCTGCCCAAGAGCCTGATACCACCACAGACCCAGAACCTTCCTATTAAAACAAAATGGTGCTGGCCAAGCGCAGCGGCTCATGCCTGTCATCCTAGCACTTTGGGAGGCCGAGGTGGGTGGATCACCTGAGGTAGGGAGTTCAAGACCAGCCTGACCAACATGGTGAAACCCCGTCTCTACTAAAAATAAAAAAAATTAGCTGGGCATGGTGGTGGGCGCCTGTAATCCCAGCTACTAGGGGGTAGGGCGGGGGTGAGGGGGGCTGCGGCGCAAGAATATCTGGAACCCGGAAGGCAGAGGTTGCACTGAGCCAAGATCACGCCACTGCACTCCAGCCTGGGTGACACAGTGAGACTCTGTCATAAAAATACAAAACAACAACAACAAAACGGTGCTGCTACTTACCTGGTCAAAATACTCCAGCAATTTCCAACCTTAGTGTAAAAGCTAAAGTCATTATATTGATCTAACATCCCCTTATTATTTCATGTTATTCTCCTACTTCTGTGACCTCAACTTCTCCCACTTCCTCTTTCACACACTCTTCAGCTACATGGGACTCCAGTTTGGGAACACTCCAAATATCCTTTAATCCCTGGAAATGTGCACTTGATGTTTGACCTGCTTGGGCCACTCTTCTAGATATCATTGTGATTTCCCTGTCACCTGCATTAAGTCTTTCTGGGTTCAGATGTCACTTTATGAACATGTATGTGGCGGTGGTGGTCAGGAAGGGGTGGAGTGCTTTATAGGATCACATCATAAGAAACCAGCTGTTGAAGGACTTTTCCTTAGTTCAGCTAAACACGGGGTCCTTGTCCCACGGCCATGAAAGTATAGGCTTGCAGACAATTTGAAGCGTGAGTAAAGTGGGGTTTTATTTGGTAAAAGGGAAGAAAAGGGGGGAACAAGCACTCTCTGCAAGGCCAGAGTTCTCTGCTAGAGTTCCTCCTGCCTCACAGCTTGAATTCCAGGTTCCACGCAGGAAGAGGAGGGGCCAGGCTCCTCCCCACCGCAAAGGGCACAAACCTCTGTGGCTCCAGCCTGGTAGCATTTCTCCCAGTGTGCAGGCCAGTTGGAGTTTTTCTAGGGACCCCTGCCACCTGGCTTTCTCACAACTTTCTACCAACGCTGTCAATATCTCTCCTCTTTAGTGTTTTAACATGTCTTCATAACACATATTTCCATCTTTATAATATATTTTGACTATCCTTCCTCTCCAGGATGAAAGGACAATGATCTTCTGTTGGTTTTGCTGACAGTTGTATTTTCAATGCTTATACAGGGCCTACCCTGCAGTAGGTGTTCAGTAATGTCTACTGAATAAATGAACACAACTTACGTCTTTCACCCTTTTGCATCTGTCTATCAGATTGAGAGGCACTAAATGATGCATCCACCCCAACTTGCTACTTAGGTTTCTCCCTCCCATACAGTCCTATGCCCTTTCTTACTCCAAAGTCCTAAAGAAAAAAGCATTATCCTATCAACAACACAACTTCTATGAATGTTTTGCAGAATATAGTGGAATCCTTAGAGTTCACATTGATTACTCATTTATTATTGTAAACCCTACCTGTCAACTAAATCTGATAAGCTCTTTATCTTTGTATTTCATGATTTATGTCCAGCACAAACTTCTACACTCTCTAAGCCAAACCTCCCACTAATTTACTCCTTCCTGAACCCTTCTGTTTAGAGTTTCTCTTTAATGATCATCACAGTACTCTATGTTCTTAGCCTACTTACTGGTGACTTCATCACCTGTTTGTTTCTCTTGAAGACACCATTTCCCTCCAGTCCCCTCAAATGTGTCTTGTGTATTTTCTCATGCCCTGTAAAACAAGACTGAAAGATTTATATTTCCTTTTCTTATTTCCTTGCCTGATGTTACCATTAGAAGATCATTCCTCTTATATTACATTTGACTTAACAAGTCACATCATTTTATTTATTTTATATATATATATATATATATATATATATATATATATATATATATAATTTTTTTTTTTTTTTTTTTTTTTGAGATGGAGTCTCACTCTCTTGCCTAGGCTGGAGTGCAGTGGTGTGATCTCGGCTTACTGCAACCTCCACCTCCCAGGTTCAAATGTTTATCCTGCTCCAGACTCCCGAGTAGCTGGGATTACAGGCACGTGCCACCACGCCTGGCTAATTTTTGTGTTTTTCGTAGAGACGGGGTTTCACCATGTTGGTCAGGCTGGTCTCGAACTCCTGATCTCATGATCCGCCCGCCTCAGCCTCCCAAAGTTCTGGAATTACAGGCGTGAGCCACTGCACCTGGCCTTCTGTTATATTAAATCATTACAGTATTAGCTTCTTTCATGTTCTCTATCAAAAAGTATTTTCTCATTTGTCTTTAATCAAATTATTTCTCTGTAGATGTACAAGATGTATCTGTTTAATGAAATAATTATCTTTCTTTTATAAAGACATCTTTGCATTCCTCTGAGGTTAATTCTGTGTGACTATATTATTCTTTAGCCCACCTTTTCTGCAATACATCAACTTTGCATCCTAGCTTCCTGCTATACCCTCTCCTCACATCCTGGTATAGCAGAGTAAGGTCAACCTCAACCTGGAAAACAGAATAAATTGCCAAAACTTTCAGTCTTTCTCATTTGGACTTCTTTTTTTTCAGACTTCTTCATTCCCATTAACTTCAGAAGCACTCCACTCCTGCTACCAAATCTTCTGTCCACATCCTGGATTTCCATCTGATAGAACGTTTCCACCTCAGAAATTCTCATTAAAACAATCCTCTCTAACTACAACATGTATCATTTTAATTAACCCCATATTTTCTTCTACCTCCTTGGTATCATCTTCTCATTGACTCCATTATATTCTTATTAATAACTACCTTGTCTTCACTTCTTTTTCTCTACAGATTAAACTCTTGGGTTATTTCAATCCTTTCTTTAAAAATCCCTAAACTTGCTTATTTCATTGTCTTTCCTTGGAGCATAGAATTGTAACATTTGAGGAATATCACACCACCCTTCTCTCCAGCCACAATTGACCATTTAAGAATTAATGGAGGCGGGGCACAGTGGCTCACACCTGTAATCCCAGCACTTTGGGAGGCCGAAGCAGGTGGTTCACCTGAGGTCAGGAGTTCCAGACCAGACCGACCAACATGGTGAAACCCCGTCTCTACTGAAATACAAAAATTTAGCCAGGTGTGGTGGCACATGACTGTAATCCCAGTACTTGGAAGGCTGAGGCAGGAGAATCGCTTGAACCTGGGAGGCAAAAGTTGCAGAGAGCCGAGATTGTGCCATTGCACTCTAGCCTGTGCAACAGAGTGAAACTCTATCTCAAAAAAAAGAAAAAGAAAAAGAGTTATTGGAGACAATACTAGAAATAGAAGATGAGTACTGATAAAAGTCTAAGATCAAAACTCGAATCCGGGCCCTCCACATCAAGAAAACCTAATAACCTGATCTATGTTCCTCAACTAATTCACTCCCCTTTGATCTACAAACACTGTTTCCAAGCTTTACTTTTAGCTAATATTTACTTACTTTTTAACTTGAGAGTTCAATCATCACTTACTCTGGAAAGCTCTTACTGATACTCACTAATGAATTAATTTCCTTTGCCATATAGTCTTATAGCACCTTCTATTTTTCTTTGTCTAATTTATCAGTTGATGATTACTTTTTCAATGCTTAACTTTCCCCTCAGAATGAAATTCCCATGAAGAGTGGTCATTAGTTATTATATTTATCTATTTTACAGTTATACCCTCAGAACCAGTATAGCTTCTTCCAGATGTGTGTTTTCCATAAATATTTCTTGGAAATCAAAGATAATTTTCCTTAACAATTTAAATTTTTAAAATATTACCTCTCTTCTCAAACTAATTCTCATTTTAACCCACAATCCATTCTTACTAACTTTATCTATCAGGATGGTTTTCTTACCATAGTCTACACTTGTTGGTCCTACTGTGATACTAACACAGATTTGTAATGAACTCTATTTATAAGCCTCTCTTTTTATTTTATTTCATTTCTGCCTTCAGACTGAGTTCAAGACTTCTTCCTCCCTTGGGAGGAAAAACAATGTGGGAAGAATTGTATTGGCTTTGAAAGCAGATAAACTCAGTTTCCAAACGTATCTATTCAACTTAATGGCTATGAACTTTGGAAACTGTCTAATGATTTGAAACTTCAGATTCTCATCCTTTCAATGTAATTAATTCTAAAATCAGCCTCAAAATAGTTTGTGTGGGATAAGCAGAATATTTGTAGACGTGCCTGATAAGATGTGGGGATACAGTCAATACCTGTTAAAGCCTACTAATGGAAAAGGGATCATTTCCCCTCCCTCTTCCCTCTTTCCTTTTATCTGTTTTGCCTCACAGATAAAGAAAAAAAAAAATCTGCCCATAGATAAAGTTCATTAATGGCCCCTCTGTTGAGAGGGGAACCAAATTAGATTGGTTATATGCTAAACATTTTTGGGCTGAGGACAATTAAAGTCCTATTTATTTATTTATACAGTGCATTAAAGGAAGGAGTAGGCTCTAGTCTTCCTCCTTTGCTTTCATTTTTCTGGCATATGCACACTCTAAAGAGGTCTGTGCTTCAGAGCCAGAAATGCCATATCTGCCTAAGAAATAGGTAGCCTTAGAAAATATTCTTTAGCCCAACTGCTCTTAATTGAAGTAGGGCTTAGAAAACTTCTCTTAGGCATGCAGGTCAAGGCTGGATGGGCCTGACATTCTAGCTATGTGTTGATTTTTACTGCTAAATTACAAACATATCATTAAGAGATGTGGCAAACAGATTCAAAAGCTCAGTTAAACATTTACTTGTGTAGTAGTATCAAACAGTTGCTAAGATACAATAATATAATAAATAAAATAATGGAAAAGTAATATTTAAGGCAATAATAGTTGAACATTCTTGAGAATAAAAATGTCACACTTTTCTATTATAAGGGATCTTTGAAAACCAAGGAAATTTTTTGGAAAAAAAAGTATATCCACATCCCCTTATATTTTATTAAAACTGTAAAATATTAAGAAGAACAAATATTAAAAGCTATTAGAAAATTAGGCAGTTAGAAAGTAATTTGTAATTAGCTGACAATGGACTTCTCATCAACAACAATAGAAGAAACAATAGTAGTTAACATCCACAAAGCACAGAAAGAAAATTACTGTCAACCTAAAATTATATACACAGTTATACTATCAATAATGAAAGAAAGCAAAATAAAGCATTTGTAGATATACAGGAGAAGTAACATAGCTTTGCTAGACCTTCAATGTAGAAATAATAAGGAATACACAATATGAACTTTAAAAGAGATGAGCTAGAAGATGGAAGAGTACAAAAATTTTAAATTGTGTGAGCAACTTTTATTTAATATTGACAATAAAAAAGAGTAAATTATTTTGCATTATAAAAATAAAGTTAAAAAACTTAAAATAGGCAATATTAAGATAAATAAATAGTTTATACACAATTAAAATAACCTATGTTGTATTAGTCCATTCTCACGCTGATATAAAGAACTGCCCAAGACTGGGTAATTTGTAAAGAAATAAGGTTTAATTGACACATTTCTACATGGCTGGGGAGGCCTCAGGAAACTTACAATCATGGCAGAAAGCACCTCTTCACAGGGAGGCAGGAGGAAATGCCAAATGCTTATAAAATTGTCAGATCTTGTGAGAACTCATTCATTATCGTGAGAACAGCATGAAGGAACTGCCCCCATGATTGAGTTACCTCCACCTGGTCCTGCCCTCGACACATGGTGATAATGAGGATTATGATTCAGGGTGAGATTTGGGTGGGGACACAGAACCAAACCATATCATATGTCTACTTAATATGTTCAAGGAGAAGAATAAAATTGAAAACAAGATTTGATTTTGTAAAAAAGAATTCTGAAGTAACTAAAAAAAGAAGAAAAAGATAATTATTAAATGAAGATAAAGATTAGAGCAGCAGTAATTAAAGTAGAAATTATAAAAACAATAGAAGCTGGGTGAGGTGGCGCACTCCGGTACTCCTAGCACTTTAGGAGGTCTAGGCAGGAGGATTGCTTGAGCTCAGGAGTTTGAGACCAATGTGGGTAACATAGTTAGACCTTGTCTCTACAAAAAGTCAACAAAATAAGCCAGGCATGGTGGTACATACCTGTAGTTCCAGCTACTGTGGTGGCTGAGTTGAGAGGGATGCTTTTTATTATCATTATTCTTATTATTATACTTTAAGTTCTAGGGTACATGTGCACAACGTGCAGGTTTGTTACATATGTGTACAAGTGCCATGTAGGTGTGCTGCACCCATTAACTCATCATTTACATTAGGTATATCTCCTAATGCTATCCCTCCCCCGTCCTCCCACCCCACTACAGGACCCAGTGTGTGGTGTTCCCCACCCTGTGTCCAAGTGTTCTCACTGTTCAATTCCCACCTATGAGTGAGAACATGCGGTGTTTGGTTTTCTGTCCTTGAGATAATTTGCTCAGAATGGTGGTTTCCAGCTACATCCATGTCCCTACAAAGGACATGAACTCATCCTTTTTTATGGCTGCATAGTATTCCATGGTGTATATGTGCCACATTTTCTTAATTCAATCTATCATTGATGGACATTTGGGATGGTTCCAAGTCTTTGCTATTGTGAATAGTGCTGCAATAAACATACGTGTGCATGTGTCTTTATAGTAGCATGATTTATAATCGTTTGGGTATATACCCAGTAATGGGATGGCTGGGTCAAATGGTATTTCTAGTTCTAGATCCTTGAGGAATCACCACTGTCTTCCACAATGGTTGAACTGGTTTTCAGTCCCACCAACAGTGTAAAAGTGTTCCTATCTCACATCCTCTCCATATCCTCTCCAGCACCTGTTGTTTGCTGACTTTTTAATGAATGCCATTCTAACTGGTGTGAGTTGGTATCTCATTGTGGTTTTGCTTTGC